>NC_000012.12:73369218-73520734 GCF_000001405.40 Homo sapiens | reverse complement strand
AAAAATGAAATAGAGTACAGAGAAGTAGAACAAAACAGTACAATTAAAAGTGATCAGCCATGATTGGTTTATTATTAAATGCAATAATGCACACTTATCAACCACAAATTATATATGAAAAAATATGCAAATTCCTAAGTATGCTAAAAAGGCATTTGAAGATGTAATTTTTTCATTGATTATGTAAAAATTGGGACTATAGTGCTATTTACATAACAGAAATATATATCCACTTTATTTGACATTGTAATCTTGATTCTCAGAATTAATCCTGATATAGCAAACTTTAGGGAATACTTAGATATATTGTAAAACCTCTATATGATGGTATGCAGTTAGACAGTTATGCCACCTATATGCATGTTTACACAAACATTTAAGTAAAAAGCAAAATGCTAAGTTATAGCTTAAAAAAGCAGGATACAAAATTTCATGCTTAGTATGATTTCAATTTTGAAAGAAGATAGGGCTAGAAAAACACCTTCTAACCCTAAGTTATCCATGAGTGATTGAATTATAATGCTGCTCACTATTTTTAAATATTTCTGCATTTTCAAAACTTTTCTTAATTTTGCTGTGATTCATATATTAAATTTTTTTAAAGGGCTGGATAACAAAAACTCTGTCTAGCATTCTAGACTCCATTGTCGCAACACTTCTTTTTTGCTATGTAGTAAGTAGTTTCTTAACCTGGCTACATATATTAAATACAAAATTAGGGAAAAAGTTTTGCCATTACTTTCTTTTGGTCTTTTTACTTTTTATATGTGCAAAAACCTTAAAAATAATTTTTAAATAGATTTTCCTTAGGAGTGTCAGCACATTCGTCATGGTTTTCTGCCACTAAAATATCTTTCACAATATCCCTGACTGTTTTCAGTTGTAAACTATGGTTCACCCTTCAAGCAGAAGTGCCTCTGCGAACAGCTGGGCACAGATGCCTACTGCATCTGGCCTCTGAAAAAGTAATCATCAGAGCCCAGATTTCAAAAGCAGCTCTCATGTTTACCAGTTTTAAAACTAGTAGAGTTCTCAAAGAAGAAGCATTCTAAAAAATTCTATATGGGGATTTTAAAATTATGTAATCATGTCCTTTTTCCAGAGAAGATCACTTAGACCTTCAGAATAATCTTTCTAATATTCAAAAACTCTTACTGTCAGGGAATCAATCTTTATATTAAACTTAATTTCTTCATGCAGTAGTTAGGATTGTTTTATCTTACTGCTTTATCTTCCATGGTGAGGGTCCTCTGCTTAATTACTTTTTAAATGCAGAGTTTTACCAAGAGTTATACATTTAAAATATAGGAGAGTCATGGGACAGTTTGCTTTTACCTTTGGGTATTGTATTATGTGGTATAAATGTCCCCTCCTCCAAAAACTAACATTGAATGGACAGATGACTAAGAGAAGGCCCAATCTGGATGTGAAACTATGCATACTTAAAATTACTTTTAAGTGTGTACATTCTTGTATTGTTACAAAGGTGAACTTTTCTATATATAAAAATAAGCATCTTGGTAATTAATATTTTTATTTAATCCTCAGCCATATAATATCTTATGGCAGAGAAAGGCACATACAAGTTATAAAGTAAGTAAGGGTCTTTTGGAAAACAAACTTTATTCAGAAAGTTAACTTAATTTTGGAATCAAAAGACCTATCTTTATGATATCAAGGAGGATGACAGATACGCTGCTCTAGGTATTTGACCCTCCACCAAAACAACTATTACTTTGACAAAAACTATTATAATCAGTTATTTTCAAAACTACAGAGTTTTGAAACAGATGCCAACTATTTGTGGCATCCAGGGGGAATGCTCGATAAAGAAAGGAGCTGGTAAATTCTGGTGTTTCATATAGCAGCTACCATCCAAAATTACCTTTTCCTGTAGCAGGCAGCTGTAGATATGATAACCTGTGTTCTGGTGCAGCTTTAAGGATTTTTTTTTTTCAAAAATCAAGGTTGTGAGTTATGATCTGCTTGGTGATGCTGGCCATTGTTTCAATGCCATTGGTCTAAAGTGGCTTCCTGAGTGGCACTGGCAGAAGAACTGTAAACAGACAAAACATCTTTTTTTTTCTCTCTCTCTCTCTCCCTTCTTTTTTTCTGAGACAGAGTCTTGCTCTGTCACCCAGACTGGAGTGCAATGGTGCAGTCTCCGTTCACTGCTACTTCACCTCCCTGGTTCAAGCAATTCTCCTGCCTCAGCCTACAGAGTAGCTGGGATTACAGGTGTGTGTCACCATATCTGGCTAATTTTTTGTATTTTTCGTAGAGACGGGGTTTCGCCATGTTGGCTAGGCTGGTCTCAAACTCCTGACCTCAAGTGATCCACCCACCTTGGCCTCCCAAAGTGTTGGGTTTACAGGCGCGAGCCACAGTGCCTGGCCCTCTTCTTTTTCTTATTGGGTTCAGACCACTAGAAAAATCTGTCAGGTCACAGGATGACTGCAGAGATTATGGAACGGAGACTTCGGAAATCATAAAGAAAAATAAATATAGTCTTTGCAAAAATAATTTGAAACAGACATTAAACAAATGAGCAGCTGCTGCCCTTAATAAGAAAAAAATAGCAAAACACAAAGAAAAGAAAAGAAAAAAATAGCCCCTGGAGAAGTGGGAGAATCTGATTTACAAAGTTATCACATTCAAATACACAAATTGTCTAGTCATCAATAAAAAACTTGCAATGCATGCAAATAAACAGGAAAGTATGACCCATTCACAGAAAAAAATGAATAATTAAATAGAAAAAAAAATAGAAGTTCCCTTAAGTCCATATTGCTAAGTGAAAGAAGACAGTCTGAGAAAGCTCCACATTGCATGATTTCAACTATATGACATTCATGGAAAAGCAAAGCTCTGGAGACAGTAAAATATCACTGCTGGCCAGGAGTTTGGCAGATGGAAATGAAGGATAAATAGATGGAGCACAGAAATTTTAGAACAGTATTCTGTATGACACTGTAATGGTATATGCATGACATTATGCATTTGTCAAAACACATACAACTCTACAACAAAGAAGGTAAACTCTAATGTAAGCTATGAACATTTATAATATATGTTTATATATATTTATATATATTTATATATATATATATGTTTATAATAATATGTCAATAGTGGTTTATCAATCATAATACATGTACCACATGAGTGCAAGATGTTAGTAGGAAAAACCGTGTGCAGAGGGGTTGAGAATCTTGGAGAACTGTCAGTATTTTCTGGTCAATTTTTTCTATAAACCTAAAGGGCTCTAAAAATAGTCTATTAGTTAAATAAAGTTCCAACTTTGGACTTATCAGATAAAGATTTTAAATTAGCTTACTAAGAAACTATTTTAAGTAATCTCAAATATGCTCAAAGAGCTAAAGAAAAAAAATAGACAAAGAACTAAGGGCAATCAGTAGAATGATGCATGGAAAAGTGGTAAATATCGATAAAGAATACAAATTTTAAAAACAAACCTAATAGAATTTCTGGGGTTTGAAAAGCACAATAGCTAAAATGAAAATTCACGAGGTGTGCAACAGCAAATTTGAGCAGGTGGGAGAAAAAAAAATCTGTGAATTAAAGACAGGGGATTGTTATTTCCAGTCATAAGAGAAGAAAAACAATAAACAGATCTTATGATACCTACGGGATGCCATCAGGTACACAATATATACATTTTGGGAGTTCCAGAAAGAAGAGAAAGGTACAAGAAGAATATTTTTTTAATAATCGAACACTTTCTAAGTTTTATGAATGACATGAATGTGCACATAAGAAAACTCAACATATTTAAACAAGTTAAATTCAAAGAGATCTAAACCAACACATTACGATCAAACTGTGAAAATAAAAGACAGACATAACCTTGAAAGTTTCAAAAGAGAAGTAACTCATAATGTACAAGGAGCACTCAATTAAATTAACAACTGACTTCTCGTCAGAAGATATAGAGACCAGAAGGCAGCAAGATGATAAAAATTGTATAAAGTACTGAGAGAAAAAACAAACAGACAAAAAACAAAACCAAAAAACCACCTGTCAACCAAGTTCTATATCCAATAAAACTATTCTTCAAAAAAGGGGGAGAAGAAAGACATGATCAGATAAACAAAAGCCAAGGAAGCTCATTGATAGTAAACCTTCCCTATGATAAATAATGAAGGGAGTCCTTCAGGCTAAAATGAAAAGACACTAGATGATAACCTACAGCGAAGAAAACACATAAAGAGCTGTGGTAAAGGTAAATATGAATGTAAATATAAAAATTAATTTTTATATTAATGAAATATAAACAATTTTATTTAATAAATAAGAATTTTTTTATTTTTTTAAATAAGAAAAATATTTATTTAATAAATAAGAAAAATATTTTTTCTTATTTTAATTTCTCTTTTTCTTTTCTATGTTTTTTGGTACATAAGACAATAATTATAAATCTAAGTTAATGGGTATATAATATATAAAGATATAATTTGTAACAATTAAAACCTAAATGGGTGAAGATGAAGTTAATACATACTATGGAAGCTAAATTGGAATTAATTAAAAATAGATTGGTAAAAATTTAGCATGTTAACTGTAATCTCTATGGTAGCCACAAAGAAAATAACTAAATATACATAAGTGGAAATAAAGAGGGAATCAAAATAGTACACTCAAAGAATCAATCAATAACAAAAGTAAAAAGTATTGGAGGAACTGAAGAACATAAAAGGTATAAGACACATGAAAAATAACAAAGTGGCAGAAGTAATTTCATATTACTAATAAACACTTTAAATGTAAATTGATTAACCCTTCAATTAAAAAGAGAGACTGGCAGAGTGGATTAATAACCAAGAGATTTGGGGTAGCTATACTAATATCAGACAAGATCTATTTGAAGACAAAATTTCTATAAAAGAAAAAAAAGACATATGTCAATTAAAACATCAATTTGTCAAGAATATATAACAATTATAAACATATATACACTAAACAAGAGAGCACAAAAATATATGAAGCAAATATTGAAAGAATTGAAGAGAGAAATAGAAAGTTCTACAATAACAGTTGGAGACTGATATCCCAGTTTAAATAATAGTTATAACAAACTAGAAAAAATATCAATAAGAAAATAAAGGGCTAGAACAACACTATAAACCAATTAAATGTAACAGATATATGCAGAACACTCCACCTAACAACAGCAAAATACATATTCTTCTCACATGTACATGAGACATTCTCCAGTATAGACCATATTTAGGCTACAAAAGAAATGTCAATAACTTTTATAAGATTGAGATTGAAATTATATAAACTAGATTATCTGACTGCAATAGAATAAACAGTAGGAATCGATAACAGAAGAAAACTTAGTAATTTCACAAATATGTAAAAATTTAACACATACTCTACAATAACCAATGGAACAAAGAAGAAATCACAAGGGAAATTAGAAAATACTTTGAGGTGAATAAAAATGAAAACTGAACATATCAAATTTACAGAATTCAGCAAAAGCAGTGCTGAGTGAGAATTTCATAGCTGTAAATTTCTGCATTAAAAAGGAAGAAAAAAATCTCACATCAGTAACCTAACCTTACCCATGAAGGAACCAAAGAAGAGCTGATACCAAAGTCAGCAGAGGGAAGAAAATAAGAATCAGAGCAGAGATAGATGAAGTAAAGGTTAGAAAAACAGTAGAGAAGCCTGAGCTTCCCACTTCCCAGGGAAAGAGAATCTTGGCCCAGCAGTACAGCTGTCTCTCCTGGGGCTCAGCTGAAATGAAGTGCTTCAAGTCTCAGGAAAACAAAGCTTTGGCTAAGCTGCGCCAACACAAACTCCAGGCTGAACAGCCACAGCACCCTATATCCCTGGAATAGCTCCCCTAGAGGCTGAACTGCTGAGGTTCCCCACTCTAGCCAGTGGAGTAATTATAATAATAGCTGTACTGCTTCTAAACCGTTGCCCTGCCTCCTGGAGCCTCAACAACTTGGGCCCCACCATTCCTGGGTCGTTGCTGCAACATCCAGCTGCATAGAGCCTAGGCTACTACAATGTCCCACCATTCCAGAGTCCAGAGTCACCACTGCATGGTGCCTCATTCTCCAGGACCCAAGTTGCCTTTGTGCTCACTTAGATCTGGGAACCAAACTGCATCTGTGCCCTGCATCATGGGTCACCAAAATTTGAAATATCATCTTTCCTCTTTTTCCCCAGAGTTGTATTGGTGCTGTACTTTTCCCTTCAGAGTGAAATATAGCAGTACTTCATTCCTTTTTTATGGCTTAATAATATTCCACTATATGTATATTATATTTTGTTTATCCATTCATCTGTTGATGAACATTTGAGTGGTCCCATTTCTGGGCTGTTATGAATAATGCAGCTATAAACCTTCATGTACAAGTTTTTGTAGGGACATATGTTTTTATTTCTCTAGTTGTAAAATGGCTGCGTAACATGCTGGTGCTGTGTTTACAATCTTGAAGAACCAACAAATCACAGTGACTATACTTTTTACCTTTCTACCAGCAATGTAGAAGGGTTCTTATTTCTCCACATCCTTGCCAACACTTGTTTTCTTATGTGTTGTTGTTATTGCTTTTTAATTATAGCCATCCTAGCAGGTATGAAGTTGTAGCTCACTTGTGGTTTTTATTTGCATTTCCTTACTTATCAAAGCAGTTGAACATCTTTTCATGTGTTTGTTTGTCATTTGATATCATTGTTCAAGAAATGTCTATTGAAGTCTGTTGCACATTTTTAAATTGGGTTGTTTGTCTTTTTGTCATTGAGTTGCAAGAGTTTCTAATATATTTTCGATGTGAAACCTTTATAAGTTATATGATTTGTTAATGCTTTTTCCCATTCTGTAGATTGTATATTCACTTTCTTGGTAGACTTTAGATACATAAAACATTTCATTTTTTGTGAAGTCCAATTTATTTATTTTTTATTTTATTTTTTGTGTTCTTGGCGTCAAATCTAAAATATCTACTGCAAAATCTGAAATCATGAAGATTTATCCTTATGCTTTCTTCTAATAATTTTATTGCTTTAGCTGTCACATTTAGTTGTTGATCCATATTAACTTTTGTACTGTATGTTGAGGTAGGTACAGGTCCAAATACATTCTAATGAAAGTGCTTATTCAGTTATGCCAGCACTATTTTTTGAAAATACTATTCTTTCCCATTGAAAAGGATGTCTTGGCATCCTTGTTGAAAATCCATTAGCCATAGTTTTTTGGATTTCTTTTTGGAAGCTCAATTCTATTCCATTTGTCTAAATGTTTATGCTTATGTCAGTACCATACTGTTTTGATTATTGTAGGTTTATAGCAAGTTTTGAAAATTATTATGAGTTCTCCAACTTTGGTCTTCTTTTGCAATATTGTTTTGCAATTTCATATGAATTTGGTGACTGACTTTTTTATTTCTGCAAAAAGAAGGCAATTGGAATTTTGATAGGGATTGTATTGAATCTGTAAAATATTTTGGGGAGTATTATCATTTTAATAATCTAAGACTTTCAGTTTGTAAACATAAGATGTCTTTTCATTTAACTAGGCCTTCTTTAATTTCTTTCAGTAACGTTTTGTAGTTTTCTCTTATTTGGTTAAATTTATTTGTAGATATTTTACTCTTTTATGCTATTGTAAATGGAATTTTTCTCTATGGTAACTTGTAATTTACAATTATACTATTGTAAATGGAATTGTCTTAATTTGATTTCAGATTAATTACTGGTGTATAAAAGCACAACTCATGTGTTGATCTTGTACCCTGCAACTTTATAGAATTTGCTTATTAGCTTTAGTATATTTTGTTGCTTCTTTATGATATTTCTAGATAGTCTTTTCATATACAATCAGGTATAGTTTATACTTTCCTTTACAATTTGGATGCCTTTTGTTTCTTTTTACTTTTGCCTAATTGTTCTGACTTGCACTTCCAGAACAATATTGAATAACAACAGGAAAAGTGGGCATTCTTAT
Organism: Homo sapiens; assembly: GCF_000001405.40. NCBI lineage: Eukaryota > Metazoa > Chordata > Mammalia > Primates > Hominidae > Homo > Homo sapiens. The sequence continues at coordinate 73,512,747 of NC_000012.12, read as the reverse complement.
CTTTTTACTGATCTTAATAGAAAAGCTTTCAGTCTGTCATCCCTGAATATAATGTTAGCTGTGTGTTTTTACAAAATTCCTTTTAGCATGTTAAGGAAGTACCTTTCTATTTCTAGTTTACTAAGTGTTTTTATTATGAAAGGATATTGACTTTTTGTCAATGATTCTTTTGAATTTATTGAGAGGTTTAAGTACTTTTAAACTTGTTTACATAGTATATTACATTGATTGATTGTCTTTTGTTCAACCCCTCTTTCATTCCTGGAATAAACCCACCTTGGTCATTGTGTATAACGTTCTTAATGTGATAGTGCATTCAGTTTTCTGCTATTTTGTTAAGAAATATTATGGCTATACTCATAAGGGGTATCGGTCTACTTTTCTTGTGCCATCATTTTCTGGCTTTGGTATCAGGATAATCATGGCTTCACAGAATGTGTTAGGAAGTATTCATTTCTCTTCTGTATTTTGGAAGAGTTTGAATAGGGGTGGTGTTAATTCTTCTTTAAATGTGATAAAATTCACCATTGAAGACATCTGGTCCAGGGCTTTTCTTTGTTTGGACATTTGTAATCACTGATTCAATCTTTTTACTTATTATAGGTTGTTGAAACTTTTTATTTCTTATTGAGATTATTCATCCCTTACGATTAGTGATGCTAAACACTTTTTACACACCTGCTTGCTGCTTTTATATCTTCTCTGGAAAAATGTCTATTCAGGTCTTTGCTGATTTTTAAATTGCGTTGTTTTTCTGCTGTTGAATTGTGTGAGATTTTAATATATTTTGCTATTGACCCTTTATCAGATATATAATTAGTAGATACTTTTTCCTAATCGATAGACTGCCTTTTTCATTTGTTTTTTCATTTGCTCTTCAGAAACTTTTTAATTTGGTGTAGTCTAATTTATTTATTTTTGCTTTTGTTGCTTGAGTTTCGATGTGATATATAATCATTGTCAAGGCCAATGTCAAGTAGATTTTTCCTTAGGTTTTCTTTCAGAAGTTTTAGTTTCAGGTCTTAAATTTGGGTCTTTTATTGATTTTGAGATAATTTTTGTATATGGTGGAAGATAAGGATCCAATTTTATTATTTTCCATGTAGATATTCAGTTGGGTCCAAGAGTGTTGATTGGATGTTGATTTTCTGGGTAGATCCAATGATGTAGTCTCCATCCAGCTCATCAGCTATGATCCATGAGGACTATGGGTGCCTCAGGAGTCTAGGCTGCAGGAGTTTGTGGTATCGGTAATAGCAGTATGGGCTGTTAGGGTCCTTTCTGTCGAAGGCTTTTTAGTTCCTCCTATTCTTGTTTTCATCAGAGTTGAGAGTTTTAGGTGAGGAGATTCTCTCTCGGTTTTGAGTCTGATGTGCTCCATAGACAGCCACAGCAGTGCTGGGTTCCAGGACATAAGTACTCAAAAGTGTCTGTGGAACCTGGGTCCTGGTCTCAGGGTCTCATGGAATTACTGTGAATTGAATTGAATTGAATTGAATTGAATTGAATTGAATTGAATTGAATTGAATAATTGAATTGAATTTTTCCTGGGACTTGGGGTGCAGGTTCACTCTCCTAGCCATGAGTGAATACAAATTGCCTGCAAGGCTGGGATCTAAGACTTTGAGGAACATCCCCAGCAGCTGAGGCCTCAGAGGCATGAATGTAGCTACGACTTTCACAACTTGTATGAACCTCAAACACATTATGTAAATGAAAGAAACCAGACATAAGAGGTCTCCTATTGTATGATTCCTTTTATACGAAATATCCAGAATAGTCAAATCTGCAAAGGCAGAAAAAAAATTATTGGTTGCCAGAGGACATAGGGGAGAAGGAAATGGAGAATAATTACTTAAAGTGTACAGGGTGTTCTGGGGTGATACAAAGTTTTGAGACCAGAAATAACTGGTAGCTAAACAACATTTTTAACGAACTAAATGCCACTGAATTTGATACATTAAAATAGTTAATTATGTGTTATGTGAATTTCACTTCAATAAAAAATACATAACATCCTGTGTTACATATTTTATAGTCAATATTTGTAAGTATTCCAGTTTGTCACTACTCCCTAAATATTTATTAATTCATTTTCTATGGAATGGGAATGGGTAATGAGAGCATAGATCTAAATCACCTGGAAATGGACACTGTTTTAAGGAAAAATGATCTATAATGTAAAACATCACACTCTTATGAAATTATAGAAAAAAATAGAGTGCTTCTTTAGAGATTTTGCCTCTGGCCAGAAATAAACTCCTTTCGTATGTAAGTTATATTCTTGTTCTTTTTCCTTCTTTGGTTTGCTCTTTAGAGCTAGAAGGCAGACCACAAAGCTGTCTCACCAGCTTGAAGTAACCATCAGCCAGTGGATATCAGAAATGCCTTCTGGATTCACTCCTAAAATACTGCCCACCTTCCCTCTTTTCATAGTGTGGTCATCACATAATTTTTACTGCCATGCTGATGACAAGGAAGACGACAATTAATGGAAAGGAAAAGAAAAAAGAAGGACTAAGAAATTTCTTATTTGTCGTTCTCAGAGGTACATTTTAGCCAAGCAACCCATTTATTCGAATTTAAGGTTGTGCTATGAAATTTACTATTGATGTAAGGCTAGAGAGGTACAAATCTTCTGCCACATCTTATTTTTATATTGTACATTTTATAACTAATGAAAGAAAGAATAAAACTAAACAGGCATCCTGGACATATGTTAGAAACATAAATGGTGTGCTGTCCAGAAGATAAAAAGATTGGTATATGTTCTAACCACATTAGAGATATTAGAGTCCTCAGAGATTATTCTTCTAGCATACTTTCCACTTTCTCAATTCTGCTAGGCTTTCTGAATGAGCATTTTAATTATTCAAGTTTAATAATGTGTTGGAATTTTAAATACTTTTACCCAAAAGTTAAAACTGATCTTGAAAATCAGTAGGTAGCTTTACCCCTTAGGACACATTTTGGAAATTATTTGAAGGGTTTTACTTATAATTAAAATGATGGTGGTCTCACCATTGACATTCTATGCATCAGATGTTAGACTTCTTGTTATTTGTGCAACCACCCTAAACATTTAAGAATTTTCCCTCATTTTGTGTGATATGTGACTTTTGAATGAATGAAAAAGATATATGTATGTGAAAAAATGTATTTGTAACCGTCTGAGCCTATAACCTAGCTGCACATTACAAATGAACACATATGTTTTGCAAGGTGTAATTTATACCAAAATTTCTAAGAAGGAAATTACAGTAAAAATGAAGAAAAGAATGCACTTATTTTGTATGAAAATTATTTTGTATGAAATATGTTTTCATTGCTACTGAAATAACACCACTTATATCTAAGTTACCACAACAATAACTTGTATTCATCTTCATAAATTTGGCAATTCATGATGACCCTACACACAAATGTAACCTTTTGATTACTTCAATGTCTTATAATGGAGTTATGCTCCAACATGTAAACATTGAAACATATACACAGATTTAAATACATATTATTTTATTACACAATTGCTTTCCTTTTTTTCTTTTATAATATAGAGTATTACCAGTGTATTGAATTTTTACTGAAACTATGTATGTGCATAGGTTATATAATGACTGAATTAATCTGAATAATAAAAGAGCATTATAAATCATTTGTTAGAGAAAGAGGATACTGGGTCTAGTATGATTGACAACCACTGTAGTAGACCAACTATAGTTGCATATTAATATCTTTGATAGATCCTTGAAGTTTCTTTGTGTTCTGGTACTTGTCTATCTCTCTAAATTCATCAACATCTAATCTTTCCTCATTACAAGCTCCAGGTATATTGACCTTTGTGTTTCTCCACGGGCCAAAGTCTTTACTGATTCAGACCATTCATTCCATTTACAATGACCCTGCCTATTTCTATTGCTTAGCTAGCTCTTAGATCTCTTTTATGACCCTAGCAAAAAGTCACTCCTTAGAGTAGCCTTGCTTGCTTTTTCATTAAAGTATATTTTGTTATCTTAGCATTTGTAATATTTTACAGTTACACTTTTGTTTGATAATTTGCATAAATGTCACCATTCCCACCAAACTGTAAGGTCCATGAAATATGGGACCACACATTTTTGTTCATTTCTATATATTCAAAAATTTTTACAGTACATAGTATAAAGTGGGGTTTCAAAAAATAGTAAGTAAATTATTTTTAAGTGAAAATCATATGAATTTGAAGATATGCCCTAAAATTAACAAATTAGTTTTAGGTAACTTACTCATGAAATTTTATTTCATGCCTACATGATAATAAATATTCTAAGTGCAGAGAATATAGCAGTGAACAGAATTTAAAAAGTGTCCTATTTCAGTTTACAGTAGAGAGGGAAAAATAGGTTGTGATATACATTACATAAATATATATATCACATATATGATTACACTATGCACTATACTAGATAGTACATAGTATATATAGTATTAGAATAAAATCAAAGTAGAGACAAGAGGAGTGTTAGGTAGTGGTGAGATTCTATATTGTCTAGCTCAAGAAGGCTAATTTAGGAAGTGATACTTTGATAGAGCAGAAGGAAAGGAGGATTGAAGAAAGTGAGTTAATACACAATAGAGAATTTGAGAAAAATAGCAAATTAGAAATTAATGGGAAAAAATGAAAGAGGAAGAGAAATAAAAATTTGATCATAAGAATTGGTAGGGTTTTCAGGACAAGTGAATAAATGTGTCCTACAAGTCAAAAAGTCTTTTTAGAATTGTTCGGAGGACAAACCAATTTTAGGCCATTTAGAAATTTGCTGAGGGCAAAACTATGTTTCAAATTGTTGATTCAGATGCTTGACACGATACAAGTACACAAAAGTGAAAAGAATAAGTTTATTTTTTGTACAGTTCACATGCCTTTCTATTTCAAGGCCTGCTACCCTGGTTCAGGTCTTTACCTGCTCTTTCCTGAGCTGTAATAACCTTACATCTCCAGCTCTCCATAGGCATCAGCTCCGAAGCTCCCACCTGTATTTACTTAATGATTTACTGCTCCTGTAATTTATTCTTTATTAGATACATGCTATGCTTCATATTTCTTCACATGGTGAACTCCTTTCTATGTGGCCTTGATGAGGATGAAAGTTATGGTGCTTCCGCTTCCTCACTCCAATTCTACCTGCCACAGTCTTCATTGGGCACTCCATTTCCCAACTAAACAATTGGCCCAGGGGTGCGGCAAGCAAAGTCAATATATATTCTGTCCCTATGGCTTACAACAGCTAGACTGTCTGCTATGTGGGACCTCCACAGACCACCTAAACCACCTCTATCTTTGTGCCTCTTGATGATGTGAATACATTATTTTATTTATTATATAGCTATTTTTTGCCACCTGCATACTAGTCTTCTTAATAAAATCACCCTTGCTCCTAAAATTTTACTGACTCCCTATGACCTAGAACATTTATTTTTTAGCTTTCAGTTTTGTATACAATACTTATATAAAACTTATTGAAATGGTACCAAATGAGTTTAAACATGGGAGATGGGACTGTAGTCTGATTTTTCATTTGCTTCTGGAAGTGGTTCCAGATATATCTTCCAAGAATCCACGCACTCAATGGAGTAAACATACTGGGAACAAAGTTCAGCCGCTTAAGCCAGTAATTCAAATCTACCCATCAGGTAGGTTCAAATTTTCTTTTATGCTCTATCTTCCATGTTACATATATTTTCTATTTATGTGGGGTCAGTATCTTGACAGAAGTCATTGCTGATTCCCAGCTCCCTACATTTATTTACTATTTACATTGCCTCACAAGTGCTTTCGTTAAAGGGAAATTCTATTTACATCAAATTCCACTTGTTTGTGACCTTCCTTAACAGTTTTAGCTTAACAACACAAAACATAGATACAAAACAATAAAGCTTGCTTTTCTTTTCTTTCTGCTCTCTTTGACCATGCAAGGGCACAGCAGGAAGATACCCTCTGCAAATCAGGCAGAGAGCCCTTACCAGAACCCAATTATGCTGGCACTCTAGTCTCAAACTTTCAGCCTTCAGAGCTGTGAAAAATAATTTTTTGTTGTTTAAACATCCAGTCTATGGTAATTTGTTATAGGAGCCAAATGGTCTAGGACAATTGCTTTTATCGTTTTTCACATTAGTATGTAATTTCTCCCAAACTGCATAATAAGCACCTTGGAGATAAGAGTTATATGTTAATATTTGAATTCCCACAATACTCAATGTGTAGTAAAACTCTTGCAAAATGGTATATATTTAATAAGAATAAATCTATACATTCTGCAAATGTAAAACTATAAAATTCTTGTCTATGAAGACTCCAAATCAGAAGGGAGAAAAATCCTTTAACATCTTTATCCTACAAATGTCAACTCTTTCTTTTTTTTTTTTTTTTTTTTTTTTGAGACGGAGTCTCGCTCTGTCGCCCAGGCTGGAGTGCAGTGGCGGGATCTCGGCTCACTGCAAGCTCCGCCTCCCGGGTTCACGCCATTCTCCTGCCTCAGCCTCCCAAGTAGCTGGGACTACAGGCGCCCACCACTACGCCCGGCTAATTTTTTGTATTTTTAGTAGAGACGGGGTTTCACCGTTTTAGCCGGGATGGTCTCGATCTCCTGACCTCGTGATCCGCCCGCCTCGGCCTCCCAAAGTGCTGGGATTACAGGCGTGAGCCACCGCGCCCGGCCAACTCTTTCTTTAAACAGTATGCAAACCATTCTTGATTTTTATAGAAGAAACGTATTCTATAAACCCTCAAAAATATTTGAAAAAACATTTTTTCTTAAAATTATAGACATATATATTTTAGTTTTGTGTCACCCGTTCCATTTATATATGCAACAGTTATATAGTTTGTCCTGGAATATTTTTCTAATTTTAAAATATATAGAAATTATTAAGAATCTGACTTACAAAGAATAAGTTGTAAATCCCCCCAATAAAATAACCCACAGAATTTTTTTACTTTATTGTCATAGGTCCTTTAACTTTGCAGTGTAAAACTTACTCTAAAACTATCATTATTCTGGTAATTCAATAAGGACATCTTTCCACATTTTTTACATTCTATCTTTGAAAGCACAGATTGCACCAGAATGTTCTGCAAATTATCTGACTGCTATTGACATAACCCAATTCATAGAATAGCATCACTGGTATTGATTATAGGGGAAAATCCTTGCATTTGTGTTCATGTTTTTGAATTGGTCAATTTAATAAATAATATTAATGGGTACTCTTGCTCTCTTGAATCATAATATCATGACAATATCTAAAGTTACTCAAGAAGTAAATGATACAAAGAGACATTTGGAAGGTATAAATATAGAAACTAATGTATGTGGTTTAAGGAGGGCAAATATATATTAAAATTAAGTAAAATATCAACTCTAATAGAGAATATCAATCAACCATAAAAAGTCTACTAAGGAATTTTCTTTTTTTTTTTTTTTTTTGAGATGGAATTTCACTCTTGTCACCCAGGCTAGAGTGCAATGGTGCGATCTCAGCTAACTGTAACCTCTGCCTCCCAGGTTCAAGCGATTCTCCTGCCTCAGCCTCCCAAGTAGCTGGGATTACAGGCATGCGCCACCACACCCAGCTAATTTTGTATTTTTCGTAGAGATGGGGTTTCTCCATGTTGGTCAGGCTGGTCTCAAACTCCCAACCTCAGGTGATCCACCCACCTCGGCTTCCCAAAGTGCTGGGATTACAAGCATGAGCCACTGCACCTGGCCAGGAATTTTCAAAAATTTTAACTGAAAGTTCAGACTTCTTAATTTTGTACTGAAGTGAATATATTTATAAATGAAGAGAAATGGCTATTACACTAAAATCTCTCAGAAAATAGATTGGGATTTATACCTGAAATACATTATTACACTAATAAAAATAAGCTAACCAAATAAAATAGCTATAATAATAAATTAATTCCACACATTTTATTCTACAAATATAAGTAGGCAATAGTTATACTTGAATACTGAAGTAAATAACTACTTGGAAAATAATTGACACAATTTCATAATTTTATAGATTATTCCAAAGTTAATATTTACCTAAATCATCCAATATCTTCAATATTTTTACAGAAATATATATAATAATATATAAACATTAAAAATTAGAGCAATGCCTAAACAAGCAAACGTAGGAAGTCATAAGTGTCTCTAGATCCTCACTGATAGAAAGAGCGTTTTTATTGGCATTTTACTGATTTCAAGTCCATAATCTCTTTGTGACAAGTCTTAAGACTTTATGAAAAAAAGACCTTTTAGGTACCATCCTGGCAGACAAAGGAGTCAACATGTGATGCAGTAACTTCTTTTGTAGTCATGCTGAAAAATTGCAGGCATTCATGGCTCTCAAACATTTGCCTTATTAGTGTTAGATGATGGGTGGTTGCGTTACTCAAGTACAGATTATCTGCTACAATTCAGACAGGACAGACACACAGGAGAATGTCATGGGTCACCTATTTATGTTTTTTAAAAAAGAAATGAGAGCAAAGAATGTCTTCAGTTGGCAGGGGGGCGGTTCCAAGGTGGCCGAATGGGAACAGCTCCAGTCTACAGCTCCCAGCGTGAGCAACGCAGAAGACTAGTGATTTCTGCATTTCCAATGGAGGTACTGGGTTCATCTCACTGGGGCTTGCTGGACAGTGGGTGCAGGACAGTGGGTGCAGCACACTAAGTGTGAGACAAAGCAGGGCAAGGCATCGCCTCACCTGGGAAGTGCAAGGGGTCAGGGAATTCCCTTTCCTAGCCAAACAAATCTGTGACAGATGGCACGTGGAAAATCAGGTCACTCCCACTCTAATACTGTGCTTTTCCAATGGTCTTAGCAAACGGCACACCAAGAGATTATATCCTGTGCCTGGCTTGGAGGGTCCCACGCCCACGGAGCCTCGCTCATTCCTAGCACAGCAGTCTGAGATGGAATTGCAAGGTGGCAGCGTGACTGGGGGAGGGGCGCCCACCATTACCCTGGGGAGGGGTGCCACTCATTACCTACTGAGGCTTCAGTAGGTAAACAAAGTGGCCAGGAAGCTCAATCTGGGTGGAGCCCACTGCAGCACAAGGAGGCCTGCCTGCCTCTGTAGGCTCCACCTCTGGGGGCAGGGCATAGGTGAACAAAAGGCAGCAGAAACCTTTGCAGACTTAAATGTCCCTGTCTGACAGCTTTGAAGAAAGTAGTGGTTCTCCTAGCACGGACTTTGAGATCTGAGAATGGACAGACTGCCTCCTCAAGTAGGTCCCTGACCCCTGAGTAGCCTAACTGGGAGGCACCCCCAAGTAGGGGCAGACTGACATTTCACATGACTGGGTACCCCTCTGAGACGAAACTTCCAGAGGAACAATCAGGCAGCAATATTTGCTGTTCAGCAATATTCGCTGTTCTGCAGCCTCCACTGCTGATACCCAGGCAAACAGGGTCTGGAGTGAACCTCCAGCAAACTCCAACAGACATGCAGCTGAGGGTCCTGACTGTTAGAAGGAAAACTAACAGACAGAAAGGACATCCACACCAAAATCCCATCTGTACATCAACATCATCAAAGACCAAAGGTAGATAAAACCACAAAGATGGGGAAAAAACAGAGCAGAAAATATGAAAATTCTAAAAATAAGAGTGCCTCTCCCCCTCCAAAGGAACGTAGCTCCTCACCAGCAACAGAATAAAGCTAGACAGGAAATGACTTTGAGGAGTTAAGAGAAGAAGGCTTCAAATGATCAAACTTCTCCGAGCTAAAGGAGGAAGTTTGAATCCATCACAAAGAAGCTAAAAACCTTGAAAAAAGATTAGATGAATGGCTAACTAGAATAACCAGTGTAGAGAAGTCCTTAAATGACCTGATGGAGCAGAAAACTATGGCTTGAGAACTACATGATGAATGCACAAGCTTCAGTAGCCAAGTCAATCAACTGGAAGAAAGGGTATCAGTGATTGAAGATCAAATGAATGAAATGAAGCAAGAAGAGAAGTTTAGAGAAAAAAGAGTAAAAAGAAATGAACAAAGCCTCCAAGAAATATGGGACTATGTGAAAAGACCAAATCTGTGTCTGATTGGTGTACATGAAAATGATGGGGAGAATGGAACCAAGTTGGAAAACACTTTGCAGGATGTTATTCAGGAAGACGTCCTGAACCTAGCAAGGCAGGCCAACATTCAAATTCAGGAAATACAGAGAACGCCACAAAGATACTCGGCGAGAAGAGCAACTCTAAGATACATAATTGTCAGACTGGCCAAAGTTGAAATGAAGGAAAAAATGTTAAAGGCAGCCAGAGAGAAAGGTCAGGTTACCCACAAAGGGAAGCCCATCAGACTAACAGCTGATCTCTCGGCAGAAACTCTACAAGCCAGAAGAGAGTGGGAGCCAATATTCAACATTCTTAAAGAATTTTCAACCCAGAATTTCATATCCAGCCAAACTAAGCTTCATAAGTGAAGGAGAAATAAAATACTTTACAAACAAGCAAATGCTGAGAGATTTTGTCACCACCAGGCCTGCCCTACAAGAGCTTCTGAAGGAAGCAAGAAACATGGAAAGGAACAACTGGTACCAGCCACTGCAAATACATGCCAAATTGTAAAGACCATCGATGCTAGGAAGAAACTGCATCAACTAACGAGCCAAATAACCAGCTAACATCATCATGACAGGATCAAATTCACAAATAACAATATTAACGTTAAATGTAAATGGGGTAAATGCTCCAATTAAAAGACACAGACTGGCAAATTGGATAAAGAGTCAAGACCCATCAGTGTGCTGTATTCAGGAGACCAATCTCACATGCAGAGACACACATAGGCTCAAAATAAAGGGATGGAGGAAGATCTACCAAGCAAATAGAAAACAAAAAAAGGCAGGAGTTGCAATCCTAATCTCTGATAAAACAGACTTTAAACCAACAAAGATCAAAAGAGACAAAGAAGGCCATTACATAATGGTAAAGGGATCAATTCAACAAGAAGAGCTAACTATCCTAAATATATATGCACCCAATACAGGAGCACCCAGATTCATAAAGCAAGTCCTTAGAGACCTACAAAGAGACTTAGACTCCCACACAATAATAATGGGAGACTTTAACACCCCACTGTCCACATTAGACAGATCCAAAAGACAGAAAGTTAACAAGGATATCCAGGAGTAGACCTGTGCTCTGCACCAAGTGGACCTAATAGACATCTACAGAAGTCTCCACCCCAAATCAACAGAATATGCATACTTCTCAGCACCACATCGCACTTATTCCAAAATTGACCACATAGTTGGAAGTAAAGCATTCCTCAGCAAATGTAAAAGAACAGAAATTATAACAAACTGTCTCTCAGACCACAGTGAAATCAAACTAGAACTCAGGATTAAGAAACTCACTCAAAACCACTCAACTACATGGAAACTGAACAACCTGCTCCTGAATGACTACTGGGAACATAACAAAATGAAGGCAGAAATAAAGATGTTCTTTGAAACCAATGAGAACAAAGACACAACATACCAGAATCTCTGGGATGCATTTAAAGCAGTGTGTAGGGGGAAATTTATAGCACTAAATGTCCACAAGAGAAAGCAGGAAAGATCTAAAATTGACACCCTAACATCACAATTAAAAGAACTAGAGAAGCAAGAGCAAACACATTCAAAAGCTGGCAGAAGACAAGAAATAACTAAGATCAGAGCAGAACTGAAGGAAATAGAGACAAAAAAAAACCCTTCAAAAAATCAGTGAATCCAGGATCTGGTTTTTTGAAAAGATCAACAAAATTGATAGACTGCTAGCAAGACTAATAAAGAAGAAAAGAAAGAAGAATCAAATGAACACAATAAAAAATGATAAAGGGGATATCACCACTGATCCCACAGAGATACAAACTACCATCAGAGAATACTATGAACACCTCTACACAAATAAACTAGAAAATCTAGAAGAAATGTATAAATTCCTGGACATACACACCCTCCCAAGACTAAACCAGGAAGAAGTTGAATCTGTGAATAGACCAATAACAGGATCTGAAATAGAGGCAATAATTAATAGCTTACCAACCAAAAAAAGTCCAGGACCAGACGGATTCACAGCTGAATTCTACCAGAGGTACAAGGAGGAGCTGGTACCCTTCCTTCTGAAACTATTCCAATCAATAGAAAAAGAGGGAATCGTCCTAATTTATTTTATGAGGCCAGCATCATCTTGATACCAAAGCCTGGCAGAGACACAACAAAAAAAGAGATTTTTAGACCAATATCCCTGATGAACATTGATGCAAAAATCCTCAATAAAATACTGGCAAACTGAATCCAGCAGCACCTCAAAAAGCTTATCCACTATGATCAATTGTGCTTCGTCCCTGGGATGCAAGGCTGGTTCAACATACGCAAATCAATAAATGTAATCCAGCATATAAACAGAACCAAAGACAAAAACCATATAATTATCTCAATAGAAGTAGAAAAGGCCTTTGACAAAATTCAACAGCCCTTCATGCTAAAAACTCTCAATAAATTAGGTATTGATGGGATGTATCTCAAAATAATAAGAGCTATGTATGACAAACCCACAGCCAATATCATAATGAATGGGCAAAAACTGGAAGCATTCCCTTTGAAAACTGGCACAAGACAGGGATGCCCTCTCTTACCACTCCTAGTCAACATAGTGTTGGAAGTTCTGGCCAGGGCAATTAGGCAGGAGAAAGAAATAAAGTGTATTCAATTAGGAAAAGAGGAAGTCAAATTGTCCCTGTTTGCAGATGACATGACTGTATATCTGGAAAACCCCATCGTCTCAGCCCAAAATCTCCTTAAGCTGATGAGCAACTTCAGCATAGTCTCAGGATACAAAATCAATGTGCAAAAATCACAAGCATTCTTATACACCAATAACAGACAAACAGCCAAATCATGAGTGAACTCCCATTCACAATTGCTTCAAAGAGAATAAAATACCTAGGAATCCAACTTACAAGGGATGTGAAGGACCTCTTCAAGGAGAACTACAAACCACTGCTCAACGAAATAAAAGAGGACACAAACAAATGGCAGAACATTCCATGCTCCTGGGTAGGAAAAATCAATATTGTGAAAATGGCCATACTGCCCAAGGTAATTTATAGATTCAATGCCATCCCCATCAAGCTACCAATGACTTTCTTCACAGAATTGGAAAAAACTACTTTAAAGTTCATATGGAACCAAAAAAGAGCCCACATTGCCAAGTTAATCCCAACCCAAAACAACAAAACTGGAGGCACCATGCTACCTGACTTCAAACTATACTACAAGGCTACAATAATCAAAACAGCATGGTACTGGTACCAAAACAGAGATATAGACCAATGGAATAGAACAGAGCCCTCAGGAATAATACCACACATCTACAACCATCTGATCTTTGACAAACCTGACAAAAACAAGAAATGGGCAAAGGAGTCCCTATTTAATAAATGGTACTGGGAAAACTGTCTAGCCATTATGTAGAAAGCTGAAACTGGATCCCTTCCTTACACCTTATACAAAAATTAATTCAAGATGGATCAAAGACTTAAATGTTAGACCAAAACCACAAAAACCCTAGAAGAAATCCTAGGCAATACCATTCAGGACATAGGCATGGGCAAGGACTTCATGTCTAAAACACCAAAAGCAATGGCAACAAAAGCCAAAATTGAGAAATGGGATCTAACTAAACTAAAGAGCTTCTGCACAGCAAAAGAAACTACCATCAGAGTGAACAGGCAACCTACAGAATGGGAGAAAATTTTTGCAATCTACTCATCTGACAAAGGGCTAATATCCAGAATCTACAAAGAACTCAAACAACTTTACAAGAAAAAAACAACCCCATCAACAAGTGGGCAAAGGATGTGAACAGACACTTCTCAAAAGAAGACATTTATGCAGCCAGTAGACACATGAAAAAATGCTCATCATCACTGGTCATCAGAGAAATGCAAATCAAAACCACAATAAGATACCATCTCACACCAATTAGAATGACGATCATTAAAAAGTCAGGAAACAACAGGTGCTGAAGAGGATGTAGAGAAATAGGAACACTTTTACACTGTTGGTGGGACTGTAAACTAGTTCAACCATTGTGGAAGAAAGTGTGGCGATTCCTCTAGGATCTAGAACTAGAAATACCATTTGACTTAGCAATCCCATTACTGGGTATATATGCAAAGGATTATAAATCATGCTGCTATAAGACACATACACATGTCTGTTTATTTCGGCACTATTCACAATAGCAAAGACTTGGAAGCAATCCAAATGTCCATCAATGATAGACTGGATTAAGAAAATGTGGCTCATATACACCATGGAATACTATGCAGCCATAATAAATGATGAGTTCATGTCCTTTGTAGGGACATGGATGAAACTGGAAACCATCATTCTCAGCAAACTATGGCAAGGGCAAAAAACCAAACACTGCATGTTCTCACTCATAGGTGGGATTTGAACAATGAGAACACTTGGAGACAGGAAGGGGAACATCACACACCTGGGCCTGTCATGGGGTGGGAGGAGAGGGGAGGGATGGCATTAAGAGATATACCTAATGTAAATGACGAGTTAATGGGTGCAGCATACCAACATGGCACATGCATACATATGTAACAAACCTGCACATTGTGCACATGTACCCTTGAACTTAAAGTATAATAATAATAATAAAAAAGAATGTCTTCAGTCATTACAAATTAATGTTTCTGAAACCTTAGAGCACAAGTCACAACACTGAAAAATATACTGAATACTGGACAGAGTTATTTTATTTTATTTATTTATTTTTTTGAGATGGAGTCTCACTCTTTTGCCCAGTCTGCAGTGCAGTGGTGCAATCTCGGCTCACCACAACCTCCGCCTCCCAGGTTCACGTGACTCTCCTGCCTTAGCCTCCTGAGTAGCTGGGATCACAGATGCCTGCCACCATGCCCGGCTAATTTTTGTATTTTTAGTAGAGACAGGGTTTCACCATGTTGGCCAGGCTGGTCTTGAACCCCTGACCTCAGGTGATCCATCTGCTTTGGCCTCCCAAAGTGTTGTGATTACAGGTGTAAGCCACTGCACCCGGCCTGAACAGAGTTATAAAATTTCATATACTTTTCAAAAATCTACAGCTTTGCTCCTTTTCTCCACTTATTAATGGTGAGATCCTAAACATCTTCCTTTTTTATCAATTCTTATTGCATATCCTCCTTTCACCTAAGTGAATGTACTTGCTTCTTTCCCTTATTTTTTTCCAAAATATTTATATTGGCCTAACCCTATTTACCAATCATATTTTTCAAAAAGTTTCCTAAAGAAGCTGATTTTTCATTGTTTCTATTATTGCTTATACAACACCACTTAACTTAGTTATGAAATCATTGCCTACTATCTTTACTCCTCTAGAGTTTGAAAGATAATTAAATAGTGAATAGAGCTATAGTCCCTACCCACATGGTGCTTATTGTTTAATTGAAAATATAGATGATATAAATAATCACACGATATCAGTTAACTATTGGCCGAAAATAATGCTGCATTGCAAATAATCACAAAAGTATAGTGGCACATAAAACTCAAGGATTGTTACTCGTTCTTCTGAGGTGGTCAGAGAAGTAGCTTTGCTGATTTCATTGGACTCATTCACGTGGTAAGGAGGTGGTTGGGTGTAAGATGATTCAAGGTGGCTTTGTTTAGGACAACTAGGGTAACTTGACTTTTTGTTGTTTAGAACAACTTCAGGGTGGCTTTGTTTAGGACAAGTAGGGTAATGACTTTTTCCCACGTGTCATAGCCTGGGCATAGTCTTTTCGTAATGCTAGAGACACAAGAGAGATCAAGGGAAAAGTGAGCATTCCTCTGAAGCTTAGACTAAAAAATAGCTCTTTGTATCATCATTCCTCATAACTGCAAGACATTCTTATACTAAGCATTCTGCCACTAAAATAACAAGAGTCCTTTCCCAAGTTTCCAATAACATATTCCTCAATTCTCATGAAACATTTAACAGCAGTGTCCCTGTAGTTCAGATTTCTATCAATAGTGTTCACAGAGATTTAGGTTTTTCTAAGATGATTCACAATTTCTCCATAATTTTCCTGACTTCTTTCTGATACTCATTGATAAAATCTTTAATGTCCAATTTTTGCTATCAACAATCTTTTCAAGGTACTCTTTTTCTATTTTATTCTTCCAAATTCTTCCAGACTCTACTCATTGATCAATTTAAAAGTTACTTCAAAATTTTAGGTGTTCATCAAGTAGTACCCCAATTTCAGGCACCAAATAAAATCTGTGTTAGTTTTTTTTTTTTAGGTTTTATTTTTCTATTAATTGACAGATAATAATTGCAGATGTTTATGGAGTACAATGTGATGTTTTAATATACACATGCATTATAGAATGATCAAATCTAGCTAATTAACATATTCATCACCTCAAATGTTTGTCATTTCTTTGTAGTGAGAACATTTAAAACCGTCTTTTAGCTACTTTGAAATACACAATAATTATTATTAATGACAGTCATGGTCATCATGCTGTGCAAATAACACCAGAACTTTTTACTCTTATCTAAATGAAACTTTGTACCAGTTGACCAACATGTCTCTTTTCCCCATCTCTCCCATTCCCCCAGCTTCTGGTAACTACCATTCTATTCTGTACTTCTATGAGTTTGACTTTTTTGATTTCACATATAAGTGAGATAATATGATATTTGTGTCTCTGTGCCAGGCCATTTTCAACAATGTAATTGAACATAGAGAATATAGGCTCAACCATGTTGTTCCAAATGGCAGAATTTTCTGTTTTTTGTTTGTTTTGTTTTTTTAAGGCTGAATAGTATTATATGGAACATATTGTGAACCTAAAAAGAAAAAAAGAGAATGCTGTTCTTCAGAGAAAAACATTTATTCAGTAGTAAATAGGGAATTTGAAAATCCTGGGTATGAATGCTATGGTGAACCCTGGAGGGCTATAGGCATATCCAGGGAGACAAATAAAGTGGAAGTTTTTAAAGGCAAATGGAGGAGGATCACATAAATATTACAGAAATCAATTTAAAATACTAATTCTTGGACACAATAATCAATAAGCAATGGTGACATCAGGCCAAGGGAAAATAGACAGTTACTGGAAAGATGTCCTCATAGAGGTGTTCTTTGCACAAGGCTGTGGTTTGGTGGAAACTTTTGAAATGTATTCTGTTATCAGGAATATGGTGCTTGAATTCCCTTTCTCTCTTCCCTTCATGGCCTCCTGGCTTTATTTAGTTTGGTTGGACATAAGTGAATTCATTTTGGTACTCACAATTTTTATAATATATATCACATATATTTTAATGAATTTATCTGTTTATGGGCACTTAGGTTGTTTCCCTATCTTGGCTTTTGTTAATAATGCTACAATAATCATGTGAGTGCATATATGTCTTTGGTATATTGATTTCAGTTCCTTTGGGTATATAGCCAGTAAAGAGATTGCTTGATCATATGGTAATTCTATATTTAGGTTTTGAGAACCCTCCATGCTGTTTTCCAAATGGCTATACTAATTTACAATACCACAAAGAAAGTATAAGAGTTCTCTTTTCTCTACATCTTTGCCAACACTTATCTTTTATCTTTTTCATAATAGCCAGTCTAACAAGTGTGAGGTGATGTGTCATTGTGATTTTAACTTACTTTGATGATTAGACATGTTCAGCATGTTTTTCATATATCTGTTAGCTATTTTTAAGTCTAGAAATATGTATTCAAGCCCTTTACCTATTTTTAATAGGGTTACTTGTTTTCTTTTTATTAAGTAGCTTGTATTCCTTACATATTTCAAATATTAGCCCCTCATCCGATATACAATTTACTAATTATTTTCTCCCACTCAGTGGATCGTCTCTTCACTCTATCAATTATCTTGCTGTGCAGAAGCTTTTTATTTCAATGAAATCCCATTTGTTCACTTTTGCTTTCGTTGCCTGTTCTTTTGGGGTCATATCCAAAATATGTCTGCCCAAGCCAGTGTCATGGAACTTTTACTCTGTTTTCTTCCAGTAGCTTTATAGGGTCAAGTCTGATGTTTAAGTCTTTAATCCATTTTGAGTTTATTCTTACATAAATAGTAAAACAAATGTCAATTTTTATTCTTCTGTATGTAAATATACAATTTTCCCAAAAGCGTTTATTGAAGACACTGTCCTTTCCCCATTGCGTGCTCCTGAAACCCTGTTAAAAATCAATTGACTATAGATGTCTGGTTTCTCCACTGGTCTATGTTTTGTTTTTATGCAGTACCATACTGCTTTGACTACCATAGCTTTGTAGTATGTTTTGAAGTCATGTAGTGTGATGCCTCTGGCTTTGTTCATTTTGGTCAGAATTGCATTTGGTATTTGGAGATTTTTGTAGTTTTATATGAATTTCATGATTTTTTTCATTTTCTATGAAGAATGACATCTATGTTTTGATAAGGATTGCATTAAATTTGTAGATGACTTTGTACAGTCTGGATATCTTAACAATATTAATTCTTCCAATCCATGAACACAAGCTATCTTTCCATTTATTTTTATCATCTTTAATTTATTTCAATATTTCATAGTTTTCAGTATAGAGATCTTTTATCTCCTTAAATTACTCCTAAGTATGGTTTTTGATGCTATCATAAATTGGATTCTTTTCTTAATTTCACTTTCAGACAGATTGTTTTCACTATGTGGAAACACCTCTAATTTTTTATAAGGCAATTTTTGTATCCTACAACTTTACTAAACTAATTAATCAGCTCTAACTTTTTTTAGTGGAGCCTTTAGAGTTTTCTATATGTAAGATTATGTGTTCACAAATAGACAATTTTACTTTGTTACTATTTGAATGCTTTTTACTTCTTTCTCTTGTCTAAGTGCCCTGCCTAGGAGTTCAAGTACTGTTACATAGAAGAAGTGAGAGTAGACCTCCTTGTCTTTTTCCCGATCTAGGAAGCATGTGAGTGCATGTATGTCTTTGGTATGTTGATTTCAGTTGCTTTGAGTATATAGCCAGTAAAGAGATTGCTTGATCATATGGTAATTCTATCTTTAGGGTTTGAGAACCCTCCATGCTGTTTTCCAAAATGGCTGTATTAATTTACAGTACCACCAAGAGAGTATAAGAGTTCTTTTCATCATTAACTATGATGATCATTAACTATTAACTAACTTTTCATCATTACCTATGATGATACTTGTCATGTATGGCCTTTGTTGCATTTAGAAAATTTTCTTCTATACCTAATTTGTTGTATGTTTTTATCATGAAAAGATATTTAAATTTTCAAAATGCTTGTTTGGCATCTATTGAGATGATCAAATTGCTTTTGTCCTTCATTTTGGTAATATGATGAATCATAATAATTAATATGTATATATTTGACTATATTGCATACATTGAACCAACATTGCATCCTAGGGATAAGTCCCACTCAATCATGGTGAACAATCCATTTAATGTACAGTTAAATACAGTTTGCTAACATTTTGTTGAGGGTTTTTGCATCTATGTTTTCTAGTAATATTGGTCTACAATTTTCTTTTCTCATAGTATTTTTGTCTGGCATTGGTCAGAGTAATGTTGGTTTCATATTATGAGTTTGGAAGTATGCTCCTCTTTAATATTTTGAAAGAGTTTAAGGACTGCTATTAGTTCTTTAAATGTTTGGTAGAATTGAGTCATGAAGCCATATGGTCCTGGAATTTTCTCTGATGAGAGATTTTTAATTACTGATTTGATCTTTTTACTCATTATTATTTTTTTGAAATTTTCAATTTCTTTATTATTCAGTCTTGGTAGGTTACATGTTTCTAGGAATTTATCCATTTTTTTATAGATTGTCCAATTTGCTGGTATATAATTGTTCATAGTAGTCTCTTATGGTCCTTTACATTTGTGTTGTCAGTTGTAATGTCTCCTTTTTCACTTATGATTTAATCTATTCAGTCTTCACTTTTTTCTTAGTTTGTCTAGCTAAGGGTTTTTAAATTTTGTTTAGCTTTTCAAAAAACCAATTATTCATTTCATTGATAACATTTTTCTACTCTATATTTTATTTATTTCTGTTCTGAGTTTTATTTCTTTCCTTCTACTAACTTTGGACTTCGTTTATTCTTCTTTTTCTAGTCCTTTGTGGTGTAATATTAAGATCTTTTTTTTTGATGTGGCATTTATTGCTACAAACTTCCCTTTTAGAACTGCTTTTGATGCATCGCATACATTTCAATATGTTGTGTTCTCAATTTTGTGTCTCTAGATTTTTTTTAATTCCCTCTTTGATTGATTATTTGACCCAATAGTTGTTCAGGAGCATATTGTTTAATTGCCAAATGTTCATTAGTTTTCTATGATTCCTCCTGCTATTGATTTCCAATTTTATGCAATTGTAGTCAGAAAATACTGGATATAAATGTATATTTTGTTGCCATTGGGTGGAATGTTCTGTATATGTCTGTTAGGCTCTATTTGTCTAGTGTCTAGCTCAAATCCAGTGTTTTCTTACTGACAGTCTGCCTGAAAGATTTGTCCAATGTTGAAAGGTAATCAAATAATAATTTATATCTCATCATTGTGTTGCAATATGTCTCCCTTCAAGTCTCTTCATGTTTGCATTATATATTTAGGGCCTGGGTTGGGGGCATATATATTTATAATTATAATATCCTCTTGATATTACAATTTTACCACTATATAATGACCGTATTTGTCTCTTTTTACTGTTTTCTATCTAAAGCCTATTTCGTCTAAAAATAAGTATACTACCTGTATTCCCTTTTTGTTTCTTTGCATGGAATATCTTTCTATTCCTTCACTTTCAGTCAGAGTGCCCTTAATGTGGTGTAAGTCTCTTGCAGACAGCATATAGCTGAGTCTTGTTTTTATATATTCGACCAATCTGGTTTTTTTTTTTTTTGCTGTTAGAGAATTTAGTGCATTCATAATCAACCTAATTATTGACAAATAAGAACATACTAGTACAATTTTGTTAATTATTTTCTGGCTGTTTTGTACATCTTTTGTTTCTTTCTTTCTCTGTTTCTTTGTTATTTGATGACTTTCTGTAGTGATATTCTTTGGATCTTTTCTTTTTGGATCTTTTCTTTTTATCTTCTGTGTATCTATTATAGACTTTCACTTTCTGGTTACCTAGAAGCTTACATAAAACATCTTATACTTGGCCGGGCATGGTGGCTCATGCCTGTAATCCCAGCATTTTGGGAAGACAAAGCGGGTGGATTACCTGAGGTTGGGAGTTTGAGAGCAGCCCGACCAACATGGAGAAACCCATCTCTACTAAAAATACAAAATTAGCCAGGTGTGGTGGCGCATGCCTGTAATCCCAGCTACTTAGGAGGCTGTGGCAAGAGAATTGCTTGAACCTGGGAGGTGGATGTTGTGGTGACCCAAGATCGTGCCATTGCACTCCAGCCTGGGCAAAAAGACCAAAACTCTGTCTCAAAACAAAAAACAAAAAACAAAACAACAACAAAAAAAACTTATACTTCTCACTGGGTATCTTAAGCTGATTAGAAGTTAACTTTGATCACATTCACAAACTAGAGTTTTTATTGTACTTTCTCTCATTTTGTTGTTTTTTTGTCACAATTTATATTTTAAAAATATTTTGTATCCTTAACAAATTATTGTAGCTTTAGTTGTTTTTCATATGTTTGCTTTTTCATCTTTGTACTAGAGATAAAATTGATTTACAGTATCATAGTGTTTTGTATTTGACAATGTATTTACTTTTACCAGTGAGTTTTATACTTTCAGTTAACATTGCTAATTAGTGTCCTCTTCCTTCAGCTTAAAGAACTCCTTTTAGCCTTTCTTGTAAGAACCTTCTAATGGTAATAAACTCTCTCATCTTTTGTTTGTCTGAGAAAGTCTTTATTACCTCTTCATTTTTGAAAGATGGGTTGCTGGGTATAGTATTTTGGGTTGGCAATTTTTTTTCTTTCAGGATTTTGAATCTATCATTTTACTCCTTTTTAGTCAAGAAGGTTTCTGCTGAAAAAATATGCTGGTAAACTTATGGTGATTTCATTCTATGTAACAATTCACTTCTCCCTTTCTGCTTGCAAAACTCTGTCTTTAACTTTTGACAGTTTGATTAGGATGGGTCTCAATGTGGGTCCCTTTGTATTCATGGTATTTGCTATTTTGGGGACTTTCTGGGTTTGGATTTCTATTTCCTATCACAAGGTTGGAAAGTTTTCTGTAACTATTTCTTTGATTTTTTTCTTTTGTCCTTCCTTCCTTCCTTCTTTCCTTCCTTCCTTCCTTTTCTTTCTTCCTTCTTTTTTTCAGATTGTATGATTCCAGTGACATGTCAAGTTCACTGATCCTTTCTTTTGCTTGATCTAGTCTGCATATATATGATACACATATAATTTCTTGGTTGAAATTCTGAGTTTGTTTTTATAATGCTTTCCTGAACTCAATGGAAATCTTTATGACCACTGTGTTACCTTCCTGGAAAAACATATCCCCACTCAGGTCAGTTTCTAAAAATTTATCTTGTTCTTTTATTTGGAATATATTATGTTTCTTTATTTTCCTTGACTCTCTGTATTGGTGTCTTTGCATACTATAAGATAACTATTTCTTTCTGTCTTGTCAGAATGGCTTTTTGTAAGAGAAAAATTTCACCAGTCTGTCTGCCCAGTGATTTTAAGGTACTCTCAGATCTGTATTTTTGTCTATACTGCTGTCTCTGTTTTTGGTAGCCACCTGGAGCTTAGGGTGTGCCACATCCTATCAGTGCCATGAGACTGGCAAAGTAGGAGTTAGACTCTCTAGATGTTGGAAAGGTTAGGGTGTTGGTTGTGTGATTCAATTACTTCTATCTTCATGGTGAATCTGAATTGCAATTTATCTCTCACTTTGTCTGCACTAACCTGTGAAGACAATCTGTGGCAAATGCCTATGCTCACATTCAGGCTGTAGCCTGAGATCCTAGGGAGATAGCTGCTGTATGTAGACTCATGTAAGTTCATCTCTTTGTTTACTGTGGTCTACAACTACTCAGAAATACAAAGTCCCATTGACTCCCAGATCTAGATTTTTAAGGAGACAGTCTCTTTGGTGGGAACTATGAATGTTGTGACACTAGGTGGGTGGCCAGGCTTCCTGTAGGAACAATGGGTAGATCTGGATTCATCACTGGGACAAGTTGGAGATGAAGCTCCTAAAGTGCTTAGTTTGGCTCCAGCTACCAGAAGGCCATTGTTTGTTTGCCCTGTAAGTTCTGTAAGTTCCCTTATGCCCATTTTTGTTAGAAGCTGGGATATCAAGTAGCCACTTGAAGTATGTGCCATAACCCTCTTTCAGAGAGTAAATGGAAGCTGCATGTTCTGCCACTTTTGCATTTGCTTCAAGAGAGTGTAGACCCTGGACTATTTGTGTGCTCATTTAAACCCAACTCTTTATTCTTTATTTATTGGTGAGATTTGCATATGTCTAGTCCTTCCTCCTTCCAGACATAGGTTTAGAATGCAGTCCCTCAGATAGAAGCTATTAAAGCTGGGGTGCTCAGTGTGTGGATACTTTCCAGGAGGGATTCATAGAACAGGAGGTATTGCTAGGGTGATTTGGAGAAAAAGGATCAGGAAGTATCAATCTGCTTCTCAGGCCTTGAGAGGGCTAACATTTGTCTGCCCCTTTAACTTTCTGATGTAAGTTAGTTAGAAGCCAAGTAGCCAGTGCAAAATTGTGTTATAATTCCTTCCAGGGAGAAATAAAGAGTCACATTTTAAAGCCCTTCCCTGCATGGCTTCTATGGGATAAAGCCCTTGAAAGTGCTTGCATACCTGTGTAAAAAATGCTACTCTTTTCCTGTGGTCTAGAGAGACACTTGTATGCCAGGGCCCTCTGCTCCCAGAACTAAGAGATTTGGGAGGCAGTCACTTGGGTGGAAACTGCAAATATTGAGATACTCAATGTGTGAGCAAATTCTTTCCTGAAGGGGCTAATAGACCTGGAATTATCACTGGGGTGAACCAGAGGAGTAGGTGTCCTAAATGCCATTTTTTTTTTCTCAGTCTGGCGGTGGTGAATATTTGTCTGCCCTTTTAACTTTCTGACGAAAGTTAGTTAGAATTCAGGCTACACAGTAGCCACTGAAAGAGTATGTCATAAACCTTTTCTGTAGAGAAATATTGGGAAGTGTTTCAT
Source organism: Homo sapiens (assembly GCF_000001405.40). Lineage (NCBI taxonomy): Eukaryota > Metazoa > Chordata > Mammalia > Primates > Hominidae > Homo > Homo sapiens. Next base: position 73,488,527 of record NC_000012.12, on the reverse strand, counting down.
TAAGCCCCTTCTCTACACTCTTCTGGGGGATGAAAACCCTGGAAGCACTTGCACATCCATATAAAACTGCTGCTTTTTTCCTGTGGTCTACAAAAGGATGCACGTGTTTAATCCTCTTCACTCCCAGAGTAGGTGAATTAAGAGTCAAACCATGGGTTTGAGTTAGGGTGGTATATGTGAGGTCAAAAACCTATTCTCCACAGGGGGAAGCTCAGTGTTGGAGATTCCTCTTTTGATTTTATGGCACAGTGCCCAGGGTAGGGGCTGATGCTTGTGTGCCTTAGCTTTTCCTTCTCATTTGGTGTGGATGTCTTCTTAGTTGCCTCATGGTTAGGAGTCTCTCATCTGACTTTCTCTGACTTTCAAAAAGAATTAATCCATGAATACATGCTTATTTGGTGTGTCTGTATGTGGAGGGAGAGTTAGGAGATTACTATTCTGCCATGTTGCTGATGTCACGCCTGTATTAATTTTCTATCACTGTTGTAACATATATCAAAAATATAAAATTTTATGGTATAGTACCCACTTTTGTTGCTCATTTTTATAGGTCAGAAGTTCTGATATGGCATGACTCACCTGGGTCTTCCACCCAAAATCTCACAAGGCCAAAATCAAGGTATCTGCAGAACTTTGTTGCATTCTGGAGGCTCTGGAGACAATCTACTTCCTGATGTATTGAAGTTGTTGGCAGAATTTATTTCTAAGCAGTTGTAAAAGTGAGGACTCTGTTTCCTTGGTGACCATTAGGTAGGAGCCTCTCTCATCTCCTCAAAGCCATCCATATCCCTTGTCATGTTGCCCTTTCCATCTTCAAAGCCATAAATAACAGGACAATTTCTTCCCACATTTTAATTCTGACTTCTGTTCCTGCCATGTATCTCTAACTCCAGCTTAAGAAATTTCTCTACTGAATGGAATGGAATATGTCCATCTGATAATCCTGTGTAGATCCTTCTTAAGATCTATAATCTTAATTACATCTGCAAAGTTTCTGTTTCTATGTAATGTCACATATTTACATTATCCAGCAATAGATGCATGGACATGGCTGGGGTGGGATGATGGTCCTGAGCATGATGCCAATCACACAGACCTTTTTACATCCTGATGAGCAGCTGGATTGATTATTTCTGCTCTAATTGAGCAATTTGTAAACTCAAATGTAAAATTGCCAAGATTTGGGAGAATGTAAATAACATTCCTGATTCGGAATAACAAATTAAAGTGAGATCAATTTCTAAAATATTCAGTAAGGGAAAATCTAAATTTGAATTAGAAGAATTCTGTATTCGTTTTCTTCCTGTGACTCAAAAATCCAATGGAATAAAAAAGTAATTTCCTAATCAATCACTGTTATTAAGAGATTATTTAAGCTTTGCTAATAATTTGATGAGGAGCAAAATGATCAGCATTAGGTACTCTACCACTCAATAGCAGATGAAAGTTAAAAACATGAGGCCCTGAGAATGGCTCTATATTTGACCATGCAGGAAGTTGTAGTACACTCTGAAGCTCTGATACCTGTGAGTTCTGGGATGGGGGTGGAAGAGGAAGACATGAAGTAAAAAGGAGGTGTTATGACTTAGGTAGTAAAGGTCAGGGGAAAGAGTTTCATTTCTAGCTCAGTGTATTCATAATTACTCTAGATACAACACTATAAAAATGACCCCTCAAATGATGCCTTTTCTGGTAATGCTAATTACATAATCCCACCCAGCATTAGAGAAAAAAAAATCAAGAGTAATTGGTGTGGCATGATGAAATCAAGGGATTTCCTGACCTCATTTCAATTGCAGCAAATAACCCCAGTGAGATGAACATTTCTGCAGCACTGAGGAGTTGCTCAGTACAGTCTTCCAGACTTCTGTCTAATGACTTGCTGAGAAAGAGCTTACTGAGAATTTATTTTCTCTGTATGTTTTTGGACATAAATCTACCTGGCACCCTAACCCATGGGGAAGATAGGAAATAGCCACTCAACAATTGATGAAACAGAACCAAAACTGCCAATCTGCTTCTCAAGTATGTGAGGGAAACCATCTGGTTGCATCTTCAAAGAGCATTTTCTCAAGAGTAATTTAGGTGAGAACCACTAAGCAAAGTGGAAAGGATCTGTCACCCATTCTGTAAACAAGATGACACTTCTCAGATAACAGGCACATGCCTCTGCAAATGCAAAGTTAGGCACATCAGGATATGTAAAATTGGTATTGGGCAGTGGGGGAGAAAGATACAGATGGGCTTTAATTTTTTTAACTCCAAATGAATATCTAATGAATAGAAAGATAAAGATGGAATTCAAAAAGTGTCAAACAGCTGTTGCCTCAAACACCTCTCTATCACAGAAAACTTTAACATTTAATAAAACTCTCAGGAAGACAGAGAGATATAGTCTGCAATAAAAATAAACCGCTGTATTTGTCATGTTAATGAGCCATTTAAAAAGAAATGCTTTTTGTTTGTAAGTAACTGCATGAGAAATTCTAGAATAACATAAAGGCCATTTAAGGGAAAAATCTCAAGACTAAAATATTTGTCCCTTGACATACAAACTCGTTTATTTAGTCATTCAACTGATGTATATGATTATGTTAATCTTCTGCTGAAAAATGCCTATTAATTTTCACTTGTCTGTAATATAAACTCAAAGGTTCTAGCTTTTGTTATATGCCCCAGTCTTTTTGTGTTTACCTATACCTTCTGACACACTTTGTCAAACAACTGTGTAGCATGTTTTACAATTCCCCAAAGAAACCATTCCTCTGTCTTTTAATGTGCTCTATTCTGCATGGAATGTTGTTCTAAGACCAACTGGTTTAAGACCTAGATGAAAAAATTAACACCCCCATGCCTAACATTTATTCATTAATATCAAGCAGAATTAATCATTCCAATTTCTCTGTGCCTTTAACATATTTTATTATCTCTCTATAGATTTAATACGTATTTTAAATGAATCACAAAGCAAATAGAAATAATCATTGGCTTTGGATTCAAATAATTCTTGATTCAAATACTTGCCCTATCATTTATTTGCTTTAAGACTTGAAAAAATATTACTTTTATTCTATGTGAAGATTAATGCTTATTTTATAAGAACATTGAGAATATTAAATGGATTCATATATAAAAGCCACAGTGCCTAGTTGTTAATATGCACTTAATAAATGTCCTTTTCTTCAAAATTACAGCACTATAAATATGTAACTTATATAACTCTAATCTCATCCACCTGTGACTACAAACTAACTTATATTTTATTTTTTAAAAACCCATGTTTTATGGTACAAGCTTTCTATCATACTTCCTAGAAGTAGTCTTATGTAAATTCTTATTTCATTATTTCCATTTGCTCCCAAGGAAAAATGAATGAATCAATCAAGCATTTATTTCACATAAGTTGTAGGTGCTTTAGCTATATAATCTGTGAGTGTTTAAAAGGAGGTATATTCTGAAGATCAAGGGAGAGCAGAGTTTGAGGAGCACACAAAAGGCTCATCTGTGCACCATTTATCTTAAAGGAGTAGTTGGGCAAACCACATGTAGTTGGGCACAGCTAAAATATTTCTAAGTAGTCACTTGGAAAATCATTAGGAATTATACTTTCTTTCCCTTCATGTTGGCCTCAAACACTGAAAGCATACAGAGGGAATATTTAATTCAGTATACAAAAGGTTTTTGAGACTATCTGGCAATTTCATAGAGAGAATATGATATTTTCTAAAATATAGATCAAGAGACTTTTTATGTCTGTTACTACTTCATATTTCTTTGCTTTTACTACTGTCTTTAAGTGATCAAGTTAAGCAAAATCCAGCAAGAAATCTCAAGATAGCCAAAATGTAATTTCAGAAATTAAGTTGTTCAGAAAAAAAACACAGGAGTTAGAAGGGAGAAGTAAAATATAACATTGAATATTTTACTTTAACATATGTCTACCTATACTTTCTTACCTATCCTTTGTATTTCTAAGAGACTACAGCCATACCAAGACATAATTGAATCCTTCGCTATATGACATTTTACCAAGTTCTTACACTTATTCATTTCAAACTTACTTTGATTACAATTCACTGACATTTAACATATTGCTTAGCTAACAGTTTTTTAATATATAACATTGTTTACTCTGGGGGTATTTTTCAGCCTAATTAGATCCTTTCATTCTACAATTTCATTTTATTTTATTCAAAACTGTGAAAGACAAGTTATCTGTTATTTCTTGAATCATGGCACAAATGTTTAATTGTTTTTGTAGTTCTTTTTCTTACATCTTAATAAAACTGCCATTTTTTAAACTAAATATAACTGTCCCATTAGTTACCAAACAGTATCACCACCATTGTAAATAGTTTCTTACCAGTTATAGTCAAATTTAATTGTATGCTTTTACTTATTCTCCAAACTTTTATTCCTTGATATCTAGTCTTCTATTTGGGGTCTTCTTTAACTCCTCAATGACATCACACAGCAACAATAATTGAAATTAGTGTTTTCTTGGGGTATAGTATAAACAGGTTGTCAAGCTTAAATCTCTGGCCTCCAGGAATTACTGACATTATTTATATTATCGCCTATAAGGCACTAATCTAACAGCTGTGGAGATTTGCAAAAGAAGCAGAAATCGCCTTAGTATCCCATAAGATCTAATCATATAAGGGAAGGGTAAAAAGAAAAACTTTAAAAAAATTAACAGTTATTATTGAAAAAATGTAAAGATTTTTTTTTAAAGCATGAAGACCTTTTCTAAGTTGAGATAATAGGATAAGACAGCATTAATCCCACATAATCCAAATTATGTAATAATTTGTAGGGAAAAAGAGGGGGCATATTTTGGTAACTGGAGGAAGAAGAGAGATATAATAATGGAAAATCATATGCTACAGAGACAAGAAATATAAGAATTTCATCTTCAATAAGTATAAGAAAAACATATGAGTGATAGAGTACACAGGTAGAAATTTTTAATGAGGATTTGTGGACTGGTGCATAGTAAGGCCTCAGAATGTGTTGACTCTTTTTTGTTTTATATTTTTTAGATAATGCAGAGAGAAGAATTGTTTGATTTCCTCATTGAGAAAATAAGTAAATTAATCTGTGACTTACTACAAAACATGCTTCTCCTCCCTGAATCTATATCACTTGTAATGTGTCTTTTCATTTTCTACTATCAAGAAATGGAGGCCGGGTGTGGTGGCTCACACCTGTAATCCCAGCACTTTGGGAGGCCAAGGCAGGCAGATCATGAGGTCAGGAGATGGAGACCATCCTGGCTAACTGTGAAACCCCATCCGTACTAAAAATACAAAAAAAAAAAAAAAAAAATAGCCAGGAATGGTGGCGGGTACCTGTAGTCCCAGCTATTCGGGAGGCTGAGGCAGGAGAATGGTGTGAACCTGAGAGGTGGAGCTTGCAGTGAGCCAAGATCCTGCCACTGCTCTCTAGCCTGGGTGACAGAGTGAGACTCCATCTCAAAAAAAAAAAAAAAAAAAAGAAATGGAGGGAATTTTTCCAATTCTTAAATCTGGGCTTCACTTATGACTTATTTTACTAGTAGCATGTGGCAGAAACAACATCACACTGGCTTTGAACACTCATTCTCATTTTCGGAATTCTACTGAGATACCATGTGAATAAGCTCTGGCTGGACAGTAAGAGTCAGAGGATTCATTGCCCCTGTTGCCCCAATCAATAGCCATCTAACACCCAAAGCCTAATTTCTTGGCTAAATAGCAGTCAAACAAATACTCACGGGTGAACTTGGCTGAGATTACAAGAACTGGCCAGCTAAATCCAGGCAAATTTCTGACCCACATGAGAGAGTTAAATAAAGTTAATGATTTTAAGCTACTAAATCAGCTGATAATTTAATTCAAAATAAAATGATACTGTATCAGTTGACAAATGTCAGTATAAAAGTTAAAATACTGTATTCAAACAAATGTTTTTTGAATAACTACTCCCGTTTTAGATATTAACATTATAGTAATGAAATAAATAGGCCGGGCATGGTGGCTCATGTGTGTAATCCCAGCACTTCTTAGGAGGCCGAGGTGGGCAGATCACTTGAGGTCATGAGTTTGAGATCAGTGTGGGCAACATGGTGAAACCCCATCTCTATTAAACATATAAAAATTAGCCGTGCATGGTGGCACACAGTTACTTAACACAGTTACTTAGGAGGTTGAGGCACACGAATTTCTTGAACCTGGGAGGTAGTGGCTGCAGTGAGATCATGCCACTACACTCCAGCCTGCGTGACAGAGATCTAAAACAAAACAAAACATAAATTTCTGCCATCGGGGAGCTTGTAGAGAAGATAATGCACAGTAAACAAAGGAAATAATATCTATAATATGTCAGATGTTGATAAAGGGTATGGCAAAAATTAAACTAGGAAACACAAATTGAAATTATTGTGAAGAGATGTGGGAAAAACAAGTGATTTCAGTTAAGATGGTATTATGAGGTTGAAATTGAGAGGGAGAGAGGAAAGATGGGTCCTCACCCAAAACGTGGTTGAGGTATTGTGACTATTGACACTCCACACACCAAATAAATTTGAGAGAAAGCTTATTACTCACACAAGGGACTCCAGAGGGAGAGAAGAGTGGGCATAAGATGGCTTGGCTAGCTTAATGGAGGTAGATGTGTAGCAGGACCAGCTGCAGACAAAACCCCTCAGACACCGAGTTAAAGAAGGAAGGGCTTTATTTGGCCGGGAGCATCAGCAAGACTCACCGAGCTCCTCGAGTGAGCAATTCCTGCCCCTCTTAAGGGCTTACAACCCTAAGGGGGTCCATGTGAGAGGGTCATGATCGATTGAGCAAGCAGTGGGTACATGACTGGGGCCTGCATGCACCGGTAATTAGAAGGGAACAGAACAGGACAGGGATTCTCACAGTGCTTTTCTATACAATGTCTGTAATCTATAGATAACATAACTGATTAGGTCAGTGATTGACCTTTAACTACCAGGCCCAGGGTGTGGCGCCAGGCTGTCTGCTTGTGGATTTCATTTCTGCCTTTTAGTTTTTACTTCTTCTTTCTTTGGAGGCAGAAATTGGGCATAAGACAATATGAGGGGTGGTCTCCTCCCTTAGATGGAGAGGTATAGGTGTTTCTAGTTGGTAAAGGGTGGGAATGAAGAAAAGTTCCCATGTGCAAGTTGAAGATTTGCAAAGTTTAAATTTCTCACAGATGCTAGAGGAGGAGGCATACATGGGCTTTCTTGTCAGCCTGTCCAGATGTGGACCAAAGAAAAATGGAAGTAAAAGTTTCAAAGGTACTCAGTAGTCAACTATTTTAAAACTTGAGTCAGATTGTTTATGACAGTCGGTCAGGGAAAGGCTCCCTGCAAATGTGATATTTGAAATAAAACTTGGAGGCTTTGAGATGTGGTATAATAAAACATATTCTTGTCTCTGTCCTAGGTTTCTGGCATAGAGCTTCTAAAATCCCTGGAGTTTCATGAGTAATAGAAGTGTCTCTGTTACACTCATGAGATTGCTCATGGTGGGCCATTAGTTAGCTTCAGGATGGGAACTGGTCACCAGAAACAGCAGCTGTGTAATTAGAAGACTGAGACTTTGGTCCAGCCCAACCTCCACAGAAAGGAGGGAGGCTAGCCATTAAGGTCAATCATGTGGTCAATGGTTTTATCAAGCATTCCTACATAATAAAGCCCCCCCAAAAATGCTGAACACTAAAGTTTCTCGGAGTTCTCTCTTGCAAACACATTGGTGTGTGCAGCAATGATGCACCTGGCCTGCGCAGAAAGAAGCCATAGAAGTTCTGCATTTAGGACGCTCCCAGGCCTCATCCTACGTACAATGCTATTCTGAGTTCTGTGAGTCATTTTAGTAAATTATTGAACCTGAGGAAGTCATGAGAACCCCTAAATTTATAGCCAGTTGTTCAGAAGTACAGGTTGCTTGGTGATCCCTGAAGTGTGGCAGGCATCTGAAGTAAAGGCAGTCTTATGGAGTGCCCCTAACTTGTGGATTCTGATGCCAACTCTGGGAGGTTAGCATCAGAATTGTATTACCATAAAACCAGTTGGTGTTGTGCCAGTTGATTTTTTACCAGATTATGTGGAGATAGCCTTGTATAAGAGGAAGGAAAAAGATCTTCCTAAGCACCGGGAATAAGAAAGTCAAAGATTTTGCTAAATGAGTGCTTCTGTTATGTTCCAGCAATAGGAAATAGGTCACTGTGACTAAAGTGGTGTGAGCAAGGTACATGAGATCAGAGAGGTAAAAGGGGATCAGAACATGTGAGACTTTATGGGCCATTGTAAAAGTTTTGCCTTTTACTTTGAGTGTTACCAGGGAGTTTTGACTAAAGAAGAATATAACCTGACTTATAAAGGAATTCCTGTCTTTTGTTTAGTTTTTGGTAACTGGAAAGGCAGACACAGAGATATCTATTAGGAAGCTATTGTAATGATTTCAGATACATTCTTAAAGTAGAAGGGAAAAAAAAGGATTTTCTGATGAGTTGAATATAGAGTATAAGGAATGAATGGAGTTAAGAGTGAATAATGTGTTTTTGCATATTTGAATTACAGTCCAGTTGGAGCTCAGTGGTGGCTTCATCTTCAGAAAGGGCCTGGATAATTCAGAGCCACTCCAGGTTACCTGTATCACCAGCTTGGGCTACGTTGGCATTTGAGTGCCAGTCCTCTGATCTACATTCACAAAATAAATCTATCTTATTTATTCACATGATCCAAATTCACAAATAAATGACAGTCTTCTGTCATAAAAATATGTATACTTATAAGGGATTGTTTACACACTGGGCTGTTTTTTCCAGAGAACAACTGTCAAATTAATTTTACTTCAAAAATATTAATTATAAAAATAATGTCATTTTACTGTTAAATTCACCTTTCTATTTCACTAAAAGTGTCATTATAAAAACAGGTGTATATATTTTTAAAATTTCACTATCTATACTTATGTATAGATAGTGCACATGTATCCCATTCTGCACATGTACATGTATCCCATTTTTTAGAAGAAAATAATATTAAATTTTTTTAAAAAAGAACTTAATGTCTTAGTGGAAATGCCTCAAGATGTGCTTTCAAAGAAAAACAAACCACTATCTGCCAAGAGAGACTCAGTTTCAAAATTGCCACCTGCTTTTAAATTTAGATGTGGATTCAATCACCTGGGAGACATTTTTTATTCTAGGAAGAATCACTTTAATGACCCTTCTTAGTTATGTAAATATAATCCAAGTAGACACTTATTGCCCTGGAAAGAAAGATATTATAGGAACTTTTTTTTTGGATGTTGAAAAAGCATACCTCTTTCAGTGTTCTTTTTCCTAAAGATGGTGGCAAAAAGGGGCTGGACACATTTGCCAGGACCTTGATGGCTTGGTGGGAGAGGTTTGTTTTAACAAAGCAGAGGACTTCTGGAGGCCCTTCTGACCTCACAACCCCAGCTCACTGTGCATATTTTGGCAGCAGCAGCTGAAAGAATGGGTGTGAATTGAGGAGTTTTAGCTTCAAACCAGATTAAAGCTAGTTTTTGCCTTTTGCTGAGACCTTAAGTGGCAAAGGGTAAGTACAAATGAGCATCCCTGGTGAGAAAAGGTTTCCTGAGGAGCTGTTGCTGCAAGGAGTGAGTCTTCACAACATATGTGGAGGAGAACACCTGTTTTCAACTGGTATCCCCTGTGACCTTGACAGACCTATGACAACAGAAAACAAGGGGCCTATTTTAAGTCATGCCAGATGAAGAGATATGTGCTAATCATATCACCATATGAGCATAAAGTCGGTAGAAGATACATTAGATAGATGATAGAGATAGGTAGATAGATAGATAGATGGTAGATAGATGGATAGATAAACAGATGGATAGATGGAACAAGAGTTTGAGCAAATGGAGATACTAGAATTTTCTGCATATCATTTTGAAGGGTTTCATTGATTATATGAAAAATGTTGTTTGGGACAATGTGTCTGATTTGGGAGAAATATAAAAACTCATACAGAATTATATAAGTAACTATGTTGGGTAACCAGTGTAACAAATTCTCTCATATTTGGAGGGAATGAAAGAAAACCAGTGCTTTAAGTGACACACATGATTTTTATGTACTTCTATGAATTCAAAAGAAGAGATTCACCAGAACAGCTTTAATCAATGTGGGATATCTTTGAAATAAAAATACGATTTACTTTTAAGGCTACTTACTCAAAGTTTGTTATGTCTTTTTCTTTGAAATGTAATAAAATAAAGGGAAAAGGTAATTTAAAAAAATTTCACTATCAGCATGTTTTTTGGTGACATTAAATATACACTGTCTGTATTTTAGAAAAAATGTCTTTCCAGAAGCTGCATGCAAACATTCTATCATATCTCCATAATTTATGTAAAATAGGTAAGTTTTTCATGAAAAATATTAAGAATTTCTAACTCATAAAGTTCCATTCTAAACTTCTGTTTAATTTTTGATCATAAGATGCTACTTACTACTCAGTTCTTTTATTATTTCTGTTGTAAAGAAATTTATTTTCTAAATTACCTTGGATATTTTCTAATCCAGAGGTAATATATGAATACTCATTTTCATAGGCTTTTATTTTACCCTTAATTTGGCTTTGCCGTATATAGTACCTGAATCAATACTGTGTCTTATGTTATCATCTGATTGTGATTCAGAATAATCAGTGGTTCAACAGTGTTGGTAAACATTGCTGCATGCACAAACTCTCTACTGCTATCCTTCTGCCTCCCACTTCACAAACATGCACACATATAAACATATACATAACACAATCATAAATAGAGGGGGGATTCTCTTTTCATCAAACAACTTAATACTCACTGGAATATCTCAGTGAAAAATGAAATATGTTAATTAAAAACACAAGAGCCAGCATATTATGTTCTAAATCCTATTATTTCTTGATAATTGTACTCATGTCTATTCTCCTTTAGGAATCATGTAGTGATTATTAAGACCATTATCAAGGTAGATTAAAAGAATAATAACAATTAAAGCAGAAAATGTACATCATTTACAACATGACACATTTTCCCATAAAATTCTCATTCCTGACTTTTAATCTGCTATAATGTTGTGTTAATATTACTCCTTATTAACATAATTTTGACATTTTCTTTTACCTTTGCATATAAAGAGAACTGTCTCTCTCTTCTTAGAAGGCTTATAATGCACAGTCCTAGACCTTTTTAGTCATTTTCTTCTTGTAACATTTCTTAAATTGAATAATGGCTTTGAATTTTCCTGGAAGAAATTCTAGAGGCAAAGTGAGATAGGAAAAAATAATTTAAAAATATAATTCCAACTTTATTTACTATTTATGACAATTACACAATTCAAAATAAAGCAAACTAGGTAGCTTTCAAAGTACTGACCAAAAAAATACATGAAGTCAGGAATTAGAAGAGTTGAGTGCGTGCAGCCCCTTTTTTCCTTAGATTATAATATTCCTATTGCACAGGAATGTAAGAATAAAATTAATTACATTCAATAGAATATGAGAGCTGTTTGAAACTAAAGTGCTACATAAATATATTGTTTATTGAATTCAATAGTCAAGAATGCCTTTTTAGTAATATAATTATCCAATAATTTAACAAATGTGTTATACTATGTCTAGGTAAAGCTTTGAGCAAAGTACTTTGGGAAATGCAAGATTAACAAAATGTCACACTTCCTCACAGTATATCCACAGTCAAATAGAAAGACATCAATACTGAGTTAACATTAGGAAGAATGGAATTAGTTAAATGACATGTTATTTGCAAAGTTCTAAATGAAGAAAGAATACAAGTGATTAATTCAGAACATAGTACCAGTTGAGGTTTCATGGAGAAGGTAAGTGTTAGTATTATAAATTTCTTTACTACAGTGTTCAGAAAGTTTTAAGAGGCAAAGGTGGGGAGTATTTTGTTAGGTCCATGTGGGTACTAAGGTGAAGACGTCAAATAATACTGTCAATATGCCAAGAAGTCTGAAGGATTTGGATATTTTACTACTTGCAAGCTCACATGTTAGGATGCCATGTTTTCAAGAATATTGGCAGAAGACATAAGACTCCTGGGTGAGATACAAAATACCTTACTATTCATGGCACAGCAGGCAGCACATGCTTCATGTTTTCATTGGTTTCTTTTATCATCTAAGTCTTAAAGGAATAATGTAGACCAGCCTAGGATATTGAACGTGTAGAGGTCCGCATCACATATTAGGCACCCTGGGCTTAAGAAACTCCCCATCTTATAATGGGGCTGCGAGTAAATCCATCCAGCCATTGCCCCAGAGTAAGACACTACATTTATTGTTCTGGATGTGCACAAATCTGCCCTTGCGTCAGAGAAATAAACTGTCTCTATCATCCTCAGTTGTTTGCTGTACAAACATCTTTAAAAATATAGTACAGAACCTAACCCAAAAGCTATCACGAGATGTTTAGAAATGTGAATGACCGTTAGAGAACTGTCATACAACAACACACACACACACACACACACACACTATATATATGAAAAAAGGGTTTATTTCTATAAATGAAGCATTTACCTATAATATTTTATATTATTGGTCCCCTTATATTATACTTATATATTATACTACATTATATTAATATATATTATGTAGTACATATGTTATCATATATAAGAGGGAAGAGGAAATTTCTAAACATTGCTTGCTCTCCCATTTTCTGTTACAGACATATTTAACCCAAACATAATGAGATTAAATTTAATGAATATTCTGAAAAATGGCTTTCTGTTTTTATTTTAATGCTAATCTTCTTTAGTTTATCTTTTATTACATCCAGTCCTTTTCTTATTGTATTTGATTCCATTAATATGGAAAAATTGGTTACGTAGACTCTTACTGAAATTCAGTAAAATGTAAGTTTGATTTTGTCTTCTTATATCTGTGTGTGCGTGTGTGTGTTTGTGCATGCACGCATGCACATGGCAGTTTGCAGGCATTCAAATTCAGAGAGAAGAGGCAACAATGAAATTATATTTGACTCTAGGAAAATGTACTCTCCTTTCTTTATGGAAAAAAGAACCTGACTTCCTATAGGCAGGCTTCCCTTTTGAGAAGAGAGATATTAGAAATACCTAAAACTAAGTTTTGTTCTGCTTGTTCCTGGCACAAGTCTTGCCCTTTTTCTGAACCGATTCTCAGGATCGATCTAAGAGATCAAAGAGAGAGCCTCAGGAAAAGTATATCCATGTCACACAGATTTCACAGAATTAACAACTCTGAATGCCCAAAGTACTTAGGAAAATTTTAAAAGAAACTGGCTAGAAATTTTGAAAACCCTCCTACAGTGGCAATAAAAAGGCTGGCAATAAAAAGGCATAGAGTTAGACATTCCACAGCTGGAATGGTGCTTCAATAATACTATTAGGGACCTCGGCTCTTTCCATCTTTGTAGTCCACTTTTCTTCATATGTATGCCTTCATTCTCATACTTACCAACTCATGGCTGTAGAATTCTTGCTTCAGTAACAACATCTAGTGCATATTCATTATAAGAATGAAGAAAAACTGTAGAAAGCATATATTAGAAAATATAAATTTTTTCCCAGATAAATTCAGGCTGTATTTCATTGGCCAGGACTGTGGGGCAATGCCATCACTCACTTCAAAAGGGTTTTAACTTTTCCAGAGAGTGCAAAAGATCGACCAAACAAAACTGAGATTTTCTTGGTAAGAAAAAAGGGAAAATATATTTTACATAATCTACTAGCAATGCCTACCATAAACATGTTTCCACAACCCAGAATAGGGATTTTTCCTAAGAAAGTCAAAGGAATAAGCAAATGGCTACAACTTAAAAATGAGAGTGATTTGAATAATTTTGAGACTATGTAAAAACTGTCTTGCTTTGGTCTAGAAGGAACCAAGTTGATTTTTTAAATCTTTCTACTCAGCAGCATCTCTATTTTCCTGTTCCATACTTTAGATGAACTATTTATATTCCCCCAAGCCAATCTTTACATCCAGGCACCGAATTCCATCCCTTCTCAGTTTTTCAACGATTTTGCTCTAGCAATACTGTCTTTTTCCCTTGGGTACCTTTTTTTTTTTTTTTTTTTTTTGCTTTCTCCCAGTTTCTTTCCAACAACATGAAAATATTATTTTAATTTTCAAAAAAGACCAACCTGGCCAACTTGGTGAAGCCTTGTCTCTACTAAAAATACAAAAAGTAGCCAGGCATGGTGGTGCATGGCTGTAGTCCCAGCTACTGGGGAGGGTGAGGCAAGAGAATTGCTTGAACCCAGGAAGTGGAGGTTGCAGTGAGCTGAGATCACTCCATTGCATTCCAGTCTGGACATTGCAGTGAGACTCTGTCTTGAAAAAAACAAAAACAAAACAAAACATAAAACAAACAAATACCTTTGCTTATATCCAATTTCCTGCCAAATTACTGCCCTAATTGCACAAAAATTGTCATTTTCAATTCCTCTTCTTTATTCTTTCCTAAACTCACTTCAATCAAGTGTTCATGCTTAAGCTCAAACATAACTGATCTTAATGATACATCCAGTGATTTCTAGGTTGCCAATGGATAATTGCTAGTTTCATATTGACATATTATCAGCATTTGATGAAATTGATCATTCCCTCATCCTTGATATATAGTCTTTTCCTGGCTTTTAGGACACAACATTCTTGGTTTTTCTCTCACTGCAGTGACTGCTCTGTCTCATCTCCTTTGCTGGTATTTTGCTCTTCTCCCTGGACTTCATAATGGTGCAGTATCACATGGCTTAATTCTTGGTCTTCTTATTTTCACTCTTATATGAACTAATCTGATGGTTTAAATATCATCTATATGCTGACTCTTCCAAAATTTATATATTTGGCCTAGATAACTCTCAACATCCTAGATTCAACTGCTTTTTTGTTATCTCTATTTCACAACTTTTAGACATATCAAACTCAATAAATGCAAATTTGAACTCCTGAACTTCTTCCCCAAATGTGCACCACTTGCAGCCTTCAGTATCATGGTTGATGTCAACCCCTTTCTTCTATCTTTTGAGGCCCCACCAAAATTAGTCATTTATTCCTTTCCTTTTCTCTTACCTTACATCCTATAGAAAGTTCAATTAGTTCTGTCTTCAAAACATACTCATGATCTGACCACATTTTACAGCTGTAGTGAGCTGATATAATTTGAATTTGTGCCCCTGCCCAAATCTTATATCAAATTGTAATCCCCATTGTTAGAGGTAGGGTCTGGTGGGAGATGATTAGATCATAGGGGTAGTTTCTCATGAATGGCTTAGCACCATCCCCATAGTGCTGTTCTCCTGACAATTAGTGAGTTCTCACTAGATCTGAAAGTGTGTGGCACTTGCCCGGCTCTCTCTTGCTCCTACTCTAGCTGTGTGATGTGCCTGATCCGCCTTCACCTTCTACCATGAGTGTAAGTTTCCTAAGACCTCCCCAGAAACTGAGTAGATGCCAATGTCATGCTACCTGTACAGCCTGCAGAACCATTGAGCCAATTAAACCTCTTTTCTTCATAAATTACCCCAGGCTCAGATATTTCTTTGTAGCAGTCTGAGAGGGGACGAACACATGAGCTACAATCATTAATCATCTCAATTATCCAAGTAGTCTAAACTGGTCTCCTTTTGTTTCAGGGCAGGAAAGCCCCCAAATTGATGCTCTGTCTGAAAAGGTTGTTGATTTTGCCCAGGCAGAAATTCAAGGGCGAGTTAAATAAACAGGCTAATTGAGGCAGCAGCATTACAGCTCTGTGACTACTATTGCAGAGCAGGGCTATCCCAAAGGCAGTATGTTGAAGATAGCAGCTCACAGGCAGTTCTGCTGTCACATCTATATTCACTTTATTACATGCAAATTAGGGTCAGGTTATTCAGAAATTTCTAGAGAAAGGGTGGTAACTTCAGGGTTGCTGCCAGGAAATGGGTAAGCTGGTGAATATGTCAGCCAGTCTTCAATCTGGTCCAGAGTTGAGCCCCACCCCTAGAGTCGTGTTCTGCTGCTGAAGGGCTCCAGCAACCTCACTTTTGGCCCCAAACAACAATTAGAGCAATCTTTTCAAAAGAGTGAGTCAGATACAGCCAGCTCTACACTCAAAATACACAAAGAAACCTAATTTCACTCAGGTAAAAGTTGTTATAACATCCTTCAGTTCTCCACACCAAGATCTTGCCCTTCAGCTTCTCTTAACTTCCCTTTTCACTCCTGCTCCAGCCACACTGGCCTCTTTGCTGTTACATGAATTTGCTCGGGAAATACATGCCTAAAAACGTTTTATAGCTATTCCTTGTGCCTCAAATAATTTTTCATTAGTTATCTTTATGACTATTTTACTTCCTTGAGGGACTTGCTCAAATTCTACCTTCTCACTAAAGTTTACCTTATCCTATTTAAAACTGCAACTATCACCATAACCTCAGCATTCATAACTCCCAGCTTTTCCCTACTGTTTCTTTTTTCCTTTTTGTTATTATCTATTACGCTCTAACCTACTATGTAATTTACATTTATCTTTTTTTTTTTTTTTGAGGCGGAGTCTTGCTCTATCGCCCAGGCTGGAGTGCAGTGGCGCGATCTCTGCTCGCTGAAAGCTCCGCCTCCTGGGTTCATGCCATTCTCCTGCCTCAGCCTCCCCAGTAGCTGGGACTACAGGCACCTGCCACCATGCCCGGCTACTTTTTTTAATATATTTTTAGTAGAGACGGGGTTTCACCGCGTTAGCCAAGATGGTCTCGATCTCCTGACCTCATGATCCACCCGTCTCGGCCTCAAAGTTCTGGGATTACAGGCATAAACCACCGTGCCCGGCCCCTACATTTATCATTTTTATTATATATAGTCTCACTCAACTTTAATATAACTAAAAATATTTACATTGTTTGTTAATATCTCTATTATCTAGAGGCTGACATTTTCTAGACATTCCCATAAATGCACAGACTTGAATTACATTAAGTTTGAAAACTGAAGCCCAGTGGTTGCTAAATAATGCTCTCAGTTACAGTCTTCGCTCTGGCACAAAAAATCTGTGAGATTTTAGGAGGTTATTTACATTCACCAAAGTTGGTTTATTTACCTACAAGGTAAAACATACTGGTTTCAAGCTTTGGAGTCAGATCATCTGTCTCAATACTGAGAAGTCAGTCACTCTAAGCCTTGGTATCCTCACTTAAAAATTTAGCATAATAATAATAGTTCTTGCCTAAAGGGTTTCTTATGAAAGTATACTTGTCAGCATTTAGTACGATACATAGAAATAAGCCAACAAGTGTTGTCTATTATGATGATTATTAGTTTTTCTAGATCTGTTTTATATACTATAATAGTAACTAGACACATGTGACTATTTAAATTTAAATTAATTGACATTAAATAAAATAAAAACATTAAGTTTCTCAGTCACACTAGCCACATTTCAAGGGTTTAATGGCCACATTTGACGGGTGGCTACTGTAAGAGAAAATGCAAATATATACCATTTCTATGATCACAGAAAATTTTATAGAATAGTGCTGGACTGCATAATTCCATAGGTTCCTTTCAACTTTAAATTTCTCTAAGTATATAAACTTCAGAGTTTTGACTAAATCCAATTTACTTTACAGTTCTAATTTTTATTGTCTTAGATTTTTTTTAATCTTTATTTTTTGTTTATTTCCATAGGTTTTGGGGCCAACAGGTGGTGTTTGGTTATATCAGTAAGTTCCTTAGTGGTGATTTGTGAGATTTTGGTGTACCCATCACCCGAGCAGTATACACTGTACCCAGTTGGTAGTCTTTTATCCCTCAACCCCCCTCCTGCCCTTTCTCCCAAGTCTCCAAAGTCCATTGTGTCATTCTTATGCTTTTGCATCCTGGTAGCTTAGCTCCCATGTATGAGTGAGAAAGTGAGAAGATACAATGTTTGGTTTTCCATTCCTTAGTTACTTGACTTAGAATAATGGTCTCCAATTCCATCTAGGTTGCTGTAAATGTCATTATTTCATTGTTTTTTTAATGGCTGAGTAGTATTCCATGGTGTATGTATATGTGTGTGTGTGTGTGTGTGTGTATATATATATATACATATACATATATATGTATGTGTGTATATATATATATACATATACATATATATGTGTGTATATATATATACATATACATATATATGTGTGTATATATATATATACATATACATATATATGTGTGTATATATATATCTATGTGTGTGTATATATATATACATCTATGTGTATATATATATATATACACATCTATGTGTATATATATATATATATATATACATCTATGTGTATATATATATTTGGGTTCGTTCCATTTGGGTTGGTTCCATGTTTTTTGCAATTGCAAATTGTGCTGCTATAAACATGCATGTGCAAGTATCTTTTTCATATAGTGCCTTTTTTTCCTCTGTGTAGATACCTAGTAGTGTGATTGCTGGATCAAATGGTAGTTCTACTTTTAGTTATTTAAGGACTCTCCACACTGTTTTCCATAATGGTTGTACTAGTTTACATTCCCATCAGCAGTGTAAAAATGTTCACTTTTCACTGCATCCCTGCCAACATCTATTTTTTTTTATTTTTTGACTATGGCCATTCTTGCAGGAGAAAGGTGGTATAAAGGGTATCCAAATCTGTAAAGAGGAAGTTGAACTATCACTGTTTGCTGATCATATTATCATATACCTGGAAAAACCTAAAGACTCCTCCAGAAAGCTCCTACAACTGATAAATGAATTCAGCAAAGTTTCAGGATACAAAATTAATGTACACAAATCAGTAGCTCTGCTATACACCAACAGCAACCAAGCTGAGATTCAAATAAAAAACTCAACAACTTTTATAATAGCTGAAAATATAATAAAATATTTAGAAATATACCTAACCAAGGAGGTGAAAGACCTCTACAAGGAAAAGTAAAAACACTGTTGAAAGACATTATGCACAATACAAACAAATGAAAACACATCCCATGTTCATGGATGGATAGAATCAATATTGTGAAGATGATCACACTGCCAAAAGCAATCTACAAATACAGTGCAATTCCCATCAAAACATCACAATCATTCTTCACAGAACTAGAAAAAAGAATCCTAAAATTCATATGGAAACAAAAAAGAGCCCACATAGCCAAAGCAAAACTAAGCAGAAAGAACAAAGCCTGAGGCATCACATTACTTGACTTCAAACTATACTGTAAGGCCGTAGTCACCAAAACAGCATGATACTGGTATAAAAATAGGCATATAGACCAATGGAACAGAATAGAGAACCCAGAAACCAAGCCAAATACTTGCAGCCAACTGATCTTCAACAAAGCAAACAAAAACATAAAGTGGGGAGAGGACACACTATTCAACAGATGGTGCTGGGATAATCGGCAAGCCACATGTAGAAGAATAAAATGTGATACTCGTCTCTCACCTTATACAAAAATCAACTCAAGATGGATCAAGGACTTAAATCTAAGACCTGAAACCATGAAAATTATAGAAAAGAACATTGGAAAAACCCTTCCAGACACTGGCTTACGCAAAGACTTCATGACCAAGAACCCAAATCAAGTGCAAGAAAAACAATGATAAATTAAACTAAATTATTAAACTAAATACTTAAACTAAAAGTTAACTAATTAACTTAATTAAACTAAAAGTTTCTGCACAGCTAAAGAAACAATCAGCAGAGTAAACAGACAACTCACAGCGTGGCAGAAAATATTCACAATCTACACATTGGACAAAGGACTAATGACAGAACCTAAATACCTCAGTTGCTGGTGTGGGATTCACACCGTTTTTGATCTTTGCAATGGGAGCCTCTGATTGCCACTGCTTCCAGTTGGCCATCTTGGCTTTGCCCCCTGCCCCCCATGCCCCATATACTTTCTTTTGCATTTACTTTACTCTCAATTGAAATCTCCCTTTTTATGGTGTATATAATGGTAACCAGCAATTCTAGGCATAAATCTTCATTACAGCTGAAGCTACTGAGAAAAGATGGTATTTTCTCATGACTACCTCCAGCAAAGACTTATGGAAGGCTTGTGATACCTCAGCTTGGATTACATGTCTATCCATGAACAATTATTGTGGACAAGGACATAGATTTTCTGAGTACCATCCCTACCCTAATTTGTTGAATCAGAGTTAGCTTAGATAGAGCTTCTGTAAGTATAAAAGAGTTATTTACTACAGTAAGTTTTATGTCTGTATGTATATATATGTGTGTGTGTGTTTGTGTGTATTCATTTGCGTGTGAATATTTGTATTCCTTTGGGTAATGTCTCATTCAATTATGCAATAAGCAACTTTTACCAGGTTCTTTGTTCATTTTGTTTACCTGTTTATACCTGTGTGTTTCACAGTGCTTAATAGACAGAAAATAGTTACTAAATATTTGTTGAATGAATGAATGAAAAGCAAATAGACATCAGATATGAAGAAAGAGATCAAAGTTTATATTAAGAGTAATAAATTTAGTGGTACATTTACCAATAATTGCCTTTATATCTTTACAGTCAAACTGAAGAATTTCTTTCAAATTATTTCATCAAATATTCCACTAGTATCAATATACTCCTTGAATAATTAATAATTTTTACTTTGATTTAGAATTAAATTTATGTCTTTGTAGCTGTTTAACAAGATAAAAATTCTCAAAGGTATAGACCTTTATGTGCCCATCACTTCATTTAAGACAATTTTATCAGCTGTAACAGAAGTTCTAGATTAATCAATGTATTCAGTTGATCAACATGAACTTTGGTCACCTACTGGATGCCCAAGCAATAGAGCAATGCATTCAGGATTTGTTAATGAATATTTTGCTCACAAAAAATTTTTGTTTGTTTGTTTTTTTAGAGGCAGGTCTCACTCTGCCCCCACTAGAATGCAATGGTGCAATCATAGCTCACTGCAGCTTCTAACTCCGGGGCTCAAGCAGTCCTCCCTCCTCAGTGTAGCTGGGATTACAGGCACACACCACCAAGCCCAGCTAATTATAATCAAAAATGGTCAAATATCAGTAATTTTATATGGCTCAACTGTAAATAACTTATTGGCTTACCTAACTTAAAAATATACAAGTAGACAGTGGCCATGCACAGTGGCTCATGCCTGTAATCCCAGCACTTTGGGAGGCTGAGGTGGGCAGATCACCTGAGGTTGGGAGATTAAGATCAGACTGACCAACATGGAGAAACCCCATATCTACTAAAAATACAAAATTAGCCAGGTGTGGTGGCACCTGCCTGTAATCCCAGCTACTCGGGTGGCTGAGGCAGGACAATTGCTTAAACCTGGGAGGCAGAGGTTGCGGTAAGCCAAGATCGCACCATTGCACCCCAGCCTGGGCAACAGGAGTGAAACTCCATCTCAAAAAAATAAATAAATAAAATAAATAAATAAATAAAAAATAAATTACATATATAAGTAGATTTGGTAGAATCTGACAACATTCTGTCTTTATGGGATTGGTTTCATCCCAAGGGAAGCCTCTCTTATGATACTAAGATGAATTTTGGTAGCACTTAGCATGACATCCTTCCTCATTATTCTCAGTAAGAAAGAGGGAATGTCTTTTTCACCCTATTTTAAACAAAAGTGCTAAGATGTACTCCCAAATTACTTAGATCTCCTACCCACCACTGGACCAATAACTACCTGGCTGAGTTAGTTTGCTGTGACTGTTACAACAAAGTACCCCTGACGGGGTTGCCTAAACAACAGAAACTTATTTTCTTATGATTATAGAGGCTAGGAGTTCAAGGTCAAGGTGTTCTCAGTGTTGATTTATTCTGAAGGCCTCTTTCCTGGCTGCTAGATGGCCATCTTCTCTCTGTGTTTTCCCATGGTCTTCTCTCTGTCTCTTTGTGTCTTAGTCTCCTCTTCTTATAAGGGCATCAGCCACATTGAATTAGGGCCTACCCATTTGGCCTCATTTTAATTTAATTACCTTTTTAAAGACCCTATCTCTAAATACAGTCACATTTTGAAGTATAGTGAATTAGGATTTTAACATATAAATTTTGAGAGTACACAATTCAGGCCACAATACTGGTTTAGATAAGGCTATTTTTTCTACCACTGAAGCCAGAAGAGGAGTTAGTCTCAACAGGACCATATTGCTCCCCAAACTGAAGTCAGGCCTGATGGAAATGGGGATGGGAGAAGGATGCTGCAGAGGCAATGGAAATTATTGACTATCCCTTCTATAAAAATTAGAATGTACTAATAATGAATAGACCTACTGTAGGAAAAATGAGTCCTGACAAAATTCTTGGGAGTTCTGGATGAACGATATATATAAATTTGGCTATGTAATGTTATATCTATTTTTGAAATAATATTAAAAATATTACCTTTAGCGTTTTACAAGCAATAGTAACTTAATATGTATCTATTTTGTGTGCACCAGGTATTCAGGTGGAGAAGAAAGGAATATTCTATTTGACACTGATCATGAGTGAATTCCAGATGGGCTGAAGGAATGAATTTCCACTCAAATGAGAAAATGAAAATCTAAGGGAAAGAGAAATGTTGGCCCACTGGAGTAATTGTCCAAAAACCCACATATAAGAAAACATAAAATGCATAAAATTCTAATAACGTCTGGAATCTACAAGGAACTCAAACAAATTAGCAAGAAAAAAAAACAAATTATCCATTCAAAAAATGTGCAAAGGACATGAACAAACAATTCTCAAAAGAAGATATACAAATGACCAACAAACATCTGAAAAAATGCCCAACATCACTAATGATCAGGGAAATGGAAATACTTTACACAGGACTGACTAGGCAGCTGGTTTGACGCGTGGAAAGGAAGGAGGAGCAGTGTGGTGCAGTGGCCAAACTGAGAGCCATACAAGGCAGACAAGCCCCCATCCCCGGCCAAGGGAGGCGGTGAGTGAGCTTGTTACCAAAGCCTGGAAAACTGTGCATTTTCCACGGAACTGTGCAACTCACTAATTGAAAGATCTCACTTGTGACCCCACGACACCAGGGCCTTGGGTCCCAACCGTGGAGCCACTCAGATTCTCAATAGCCACTGGGCTAGAATCTGCCTCAGCTTGCAGAGTTCCAGGGGGAGGGGCAACCATCACCACTGCTGTGGCTGCCTGCTGTCTAAACCATCTGAGCTCCTTCAGGGAGGGGCGGCAGCCAATACTGTGGCTACAGGGACTCTCTGCAGGAATGCCAACAACTCTAGCCAGGGGCTAAAGGAAGGAACTCTGATCTCCCTGGGCCTGAGCCCCTATAGGGAGAGGTGGCTGTAGTCTCCACAGACCAGCTGACTTAGTCTTTTTGCCTGTTAACTCTGAGGAATGTGGACAACCCAGACGAATGGTTTTCCCCTCAGTGCAGCACACCCCCACCACCAAGGGACAGCCAAAGTGCTGAAATCAAGAAGGCAGAAATCAAGAAGTTCTTTGAAACCAATGAGAACAAAGAGACAATATACAACAATCTGTGGGACACAGCTAAACCACTGTTAAGAGGGAGATTTATAGCACTAAATGCACACATCAAAAGGCTAGAAAGATCTCAAATAGATACCCTAACATTATAATTAAAAGAATTAGAGAAAGCTGGGCGTGGTGGCTCATGCCTGCAATCCCAGAACTTTGGGAGGCTGAGGTGTGCAGATCACAAGGTCAGGAGATCGAGACCAGCCTGGCTAATATGGTGAAGCTACTCCTCTATTAAAAATACAAAAAATTAGCCAGGTGTGGTGGCACACGCCTGTAGTCCCAGCTACTCAGGAGGCTGAGGTAGGAGAATTGCTTGAACCTGGGAGGCAGAGGTTGCAGTGAGCCAAGATCACGCCACTGCACTCCAGCCTGGGCAACAGAGCGAGACTCTGTCTCAAAAAAATAAATAAATAAATAAATAAATAAATAAATAAATAAATAAATAAAAAGAGATCTAGAGAAGAAAGAGCAAACAAATCTAAAAGCTAGCAGAAGACAAGAAATAACTAGAATCAGAATGGAGCTAAAGGAGAAAGAGACACAAAAAAAACCCTTCAAAAAATCAATGAATCCAGGAGATGTTTTTTTGAAAAAATTAATAAAATATACTGCTAGCTACACTAATAAGGAAAAAAGAGAGAAGAATCCAATAAACACAAGAAAAAATAATAAAAGGGTTATCACCACTGATCCCACAGAAATACAAATTACCATTAGAGACTACTTTAAACACCTCTACTCAAATAAAGTAGAAAATCTAGAAGAAATGGATAAATTCTTGAGCACATACACCCTCCCAAGACTAAATCAGGGAGAATTTGAATCCCTGAATAGACCAGTAACAAGTTCTGAAATTGATGCAGTAATAAATAGCCTCCAACCAAAAAGAAGCCCAAGATCAGACGAATTCACAGCCAAATTCTCCCAGAGGTACAAAGAGGACTTGGTACCATTTCTTCTGAAACTATTCCAAACAATTGAAAAGATGCGACTCCTCTCTAACTCATTTTATGAGGTCAATATCATCCTAATACCAAAACCTGTCAGAGACACAACAAAAAAAGAAAACTTCAGGCCAATATCCCTGATGAACATCGATACAAAAATCCTTAATAACATACTGGCAAACTGAATCCAACAGCATATCAAAAAGCTTATACAACATGACCAAGTCAGCTTCATCGCTGGGATGTAAGGCTGGTTCAACATATGCAAATAAATAAACATAATCCATCAAATAAACAGAACCAACGACAAAAACCACATGATTATCTCAATAGATGCAGAAGAAGCCTTTGATAAAATTTAACATCGCTTCATGTTAAAAATTCTCAATAAATTAGGTATTGATGGAACATATCTCAAAATAATAAAAGGGATTTGTTACAAACCCACAGTAAATATCATACTGAATGGGCAAAAGCTGGAAGCCTTCCCTTTGAAAACCGGCACAAAACAAGAACACCCTCTCTCACCACTCCTATTCAACATAGTATTGGACGTTCTGGCCAGGGCAATCAGGCAAGAGACAGAAATAAATGTATTCAAATAGGGAGAGAGGAACTCAAATTGTCTGTTTGCAAACAACATGATTGTATATTTAGAAAACCCCATTGTCTCAGCCCAAAACTTCTTAAGCTGATAAACAACTTTAGCAAAGTCTCAGAATACAAAAATCAATGGGCAAAAATCACAGCCATCCCTATACACAAACAATAGACATGCAGAGAGCCAAATCATGAATTAACTCCTATTCACAATTGCTTCAAAGAGAATAAAATACCTAGGAATACACATAACAAGGAATGTGAAGGACCTCTTCAAGGAGATCTACAAACCACTGCTCAAGAAAATAAGAGAGGACACAAACAAATGGAAAAACATTCTATCCTCATGGATACAAAGAATGAATGTTGTGAAAATAGCCATACTTCCCAAGGTAATTTATAGATTCAATGCTATTCCTATCAAACTACCATTAACATTCTTCACAGAATCAGAAAAAACTACTTTAAAATTCACATGGAACCAAAAAGGAGCCTGTATAGTCAAAACAATCCTAAGCAAAAAGATCAAAGCAGGAGGCATCACGCTGCCTGACTTCAAACTATACTACAAACCTAATGAAAACAAGCAATGGGGAAAGGGTTCCCTATTTAGTGAATGGTGCTGAGAAAGCCGATTAGCCATATGCGGGAGACTGAAACTAGACCTCTTCCTTGCACTTTATACAAAAATTAACTCAAGAGCAATTAAACTCTTAAATGTAAAACCTAAAACTATAAAAGCCCTGGAAGAAAACCTAGGCAATGCCATTCAGGACATGGGCATGGGCAAAAACTTCATGAGTAAAACACCAAAAGCAATTGCAACAAAAGCTAAAATAGACAAATGGGATCTAATTAAATGAAAGAGCCTCTGCAGCAAAAAAAAAATAACAAACAAACAAAAAAAAAAACTATCATCACAGCAAACAGGCAACCTACAGAATGGGAGAAAGTTTTTGCAATCTACCCATCTGACAAATGTCTATAACCCAGAATTTACAAGGATTTTAAACAAATTTACAAGAAAAAAAAAACATGAAAAAGTAGGCAAAGGATATGAGCTGACACTTCTCAAAAGAAGACATTTATGCAGCCAACAAACATATGAAAAAATGCTCATCATCACTGATCATTAGGAAATGCAAATTAAAACCATAATGAAATAACATCTCATGCCTTTAGAATGGTGAATATTAAAAAGTCAAGAAACAACAGATGCTGGAGAGGCTGTGGAGAAATAGGAATGCTTTTACACTGTTGATGAGAATATATATTAGTTCAGCCATTCTAAAAGACAATTGTGGCAATTCCTCAAAGATCTAAAACCAAAAATACCATTTGACCCAGCAATCCTATTACTGAGTATATACCTAACGAATGTAAGTCATTCTATTATAAAGGTACATGCGCATTTATGTTTATTGCAGCACTAGTCACAATAGCAAAGACGTGGAATAAACACTCATCGACTGTTCAATTACATAACAACACTTTTCCTACTATTTATTTATTTATTGAGCTAGATGTATTTAGGTTTATGCTATTTGAATCAAGACTATTGTTAACCAATACACCTCTTTCTTCACGTGGGAACCTAATATCTTCAGAATGCCTCTCTCCTTCTGCAAAATTTTATGTTCCAATAGTATCCCACATTTAAGTCTATCATCGAAAGTCTCATTTTGCAATAGTTACCCCTTTCTTTCTACCTTATACATTATTGGAATTTAAGTTCCTTGAAGGGTACAAACTTTCACTTACCTGAAGATGTCTGGTACATAGTATATGCCAATGTCTGTTAAAGGAATGAATATTCATTCAGAATATAAAATATATTATTAATGGCATCATTATTGGCTTAACATACCATAAAGTGAAGCATTTGTATTGAAATGTAATAAGAAAATAAAGAGAAACTTACCACTGTGAAAGTACGATAGGCAAGAAGTTTTGTTTCTATAACATATCCTCAAATGTGTATGCTTTGTTTCACAGCTTGAAAATTTCCCTCATATATTCCCACTTGATGCCCACAACAACCCTGTAAAATAAGCAAGATTACTATCTTGATTTTGTAGAATTGGAAACTGAAGCTTAGAGATTAGCTGATTTATTGAAAGAAATTTATCCAGTTAAAAAGTAGATTCAGGAAAAATACTGGATATATTATATATTTACATCTTTAGTAGTTTAAAACTAATGATTATTTTTTGTGTGGTTATACTCCTAGTGGCAGTCTGTGATGAATAATAATTTCTCCTAATAAATATGTATAGTAGGAGCTTCTCATCAAAAGTATTTAAGAGACTCATGTATAACTGGTGTGTAAATATCTCTACTACTTATGGAATTTAGCCGTATTATCTGACTTTCAGAGGTCACAGTATTTCTACATAACATACTTCAAATCTTGTCTACAAAGTTTAAAGACATAATATATCCCAGTGTGTATATACATACACATATATAAATACATGTGTATGTATATATATAGTGTACACACACACACACACACACACACACACATAATATATCCCAGTGTAAATTAGATCACAGAGAAGACCATAGAACCTTTGAGAGAGAGAGATTGACTGACAGAGACTCATGAACTTAACGTTTGGGCAGTCTAAAGCTTAAATGGTTACTCCACAGTATAATTTTCTTTAAATCCTGTAATTTCTCTCTGCTGTTCTTGGAAATAGCCTTTATCTACATGATTCAGATGGCTCTTCAGTTCTTCTACATTTTAATTAGGTCATAGGGAAAGGGAGAAAGGGGTTAGAAAAGGTATAAGTATGCCTTGAAAATTTCATGTATTACTTAGATTCACACCTCATTGGTCAAAACTTAGTTAATGGCCATACACAGCTTAAAAGGAGGCTAAGAAATGCAGTCTTCATTTGAGACAGCCATAAGGCTATGCTAATAAATGAAGATGTTATTATATAAGGCATGAAGAAAAAAATATCTGTTTGGGGATTATTTGTAGTCACTGCCACAGTGCTATCTTGTAGGCAGCTCAAGAAGGTTGACAGGAGCAGACTGGTTTAGGTGATTCAGTATGGGCAGAAAGAATAAGACCACACAAAGGTTAAGAGGAAGGGGAGGAGTAGCAGCTGAAGCAGAAGTTTCACAAAGGTTAGTTCAATGTGCATTAGCTGTGAAACAACTTTGCCCTTAGGAGGATCCCAGAAAGATATTAAGGGAGGAATGTCTTTTTAGTTGAGGTGAGAACTAATAAGCCATTGGTTGCAGATACATAAACTGTTAAAGTGGCATACTAACTTTCACATGACAGCAAGGCCAAAGGTTATTTTAGATATATGTGTGTTAGAATTATAATAGTATTTTTGTATGTAGATAAATAATATTATATGTAAATTTAGTCACTTTACAACTGCAGATTCATATTTTTGAATGGCCCTACTGTTAACATGTGATGAATAGAACAGTATAAAATACACATTAAACCTAGGATGTACATAGGTTTAGGGTTGAAGAAAGTAAATAATTAGTCTAAGTATTAGACTAATTACTCAAGTATTAGACTAATACTATTAGTAGTAGTAGTAATACTAATAGTATTAGTATTAGAGTATTAGACTAATACTCTAAGTATTAGACTAATCACATCACTCAAAAGTGAATACATTTCAGCAGAAATAAAATTGACTCAAGATAAAACTTGAAGAACAATTTTGAGGTAGGATTTAAACTGGCTTCTTTAAAAAGAATTGTAACCTTAAGGGAGTTTTGTGCTATGGTTTGACTATTTGTGCCCTCCAAAATGCATGTTAAAATTTAATCCCCAATGCAACAATATTGAGAGGTGAGGCCTTTAAGAGATGATCGAGTCATGAGTGCTCTGCCTTTATCAGTGGATTAACTCATTCAGGTATTAATGAATTAATGAGTTATGGACTCACAGTTTATAAATGGAGTGGGACTGCTGCCTTTATAAGAAGAGAAAGACTTTTGGCATACTCTGCCTCCTCAACATGCGATGGTCTGGGCTGCTTCAGGATTCTACAGAGTTCCCCCTAGCAAGAAGGCCTTCACCAGGTGAGGGCCCCTTGACCTTGGACTTCTCAGCCTTCATAGCTGCAAGAAATAAATTTGTATTCTTTATAAATTATTCAGTTTCAGGTATTCTGTTATAAGTAACAGACAGTGGACTAAGACAGAGTGTGAAATTTGTGGATGATCAAGTCATTGACATCTTAGATGTATCCAGAGGAGAATCTTTGACTTGACCTTTGAGTTATATCTGGGTTTCAACTACTCAGCTAGCTCATTCATTTGCTTAGTTTCTGGACGTAAGAAAACATACAAAAAGGGAACAAACAAAACTGAGTTCAGAAGTCAAAGATTTGAAAATAAGCCGCCAAAATGTATTAAGTTCCACAAAATGGACTTTGTATCTATACTGTCACATTGTTATCTGAAAATTCTTATTTCAAGATTCTTCACACTGTAATTTTCAAATTTTACTATAATTTAAGTGTTTGAGGTGTAAAATAGTTTGCCACAAAGAGACACAAAGGAAAAGACTTTACAAGCCCTCAATTGAAATTTAAATGAAAGAAATCTGTTCAACATTTGTTAACCTATACATATATCAATATCAGGTAAGGAGTCACACTCTTTGAGAGTGCCCATGGGGTATTTCAAAATAGTTTTCTAGAGTTCTGAAAGCCAGATTGGTCATATGACAATAATAAAAGGCTGTTTTAAGCTTCTACTATTAGATACTTCCATGCCACATAGTAGTTATGAGTGTATCATGGAATCTTAACTGCTAAATTTGAATTATGGTATATAATTGTATGGTGTGTATGTGATAGGATAAACAGCCCTTAGTATAAAGGGCTGGACAAGATGTTTTTCACCTCTTGACTTTTTATCTTCTATACTGAGTTGAAAAAGAAAAGAATATTTTAAAATCACATCGATTGCAAGAAAATACGGCAGTTATTCTGTTGTTTTCATGAATACATTATTCCCTATTGATACACAATAATGTTGTCATTTTGTAGGCTAACTAGTTGTGACCCTATAAATCTGAGCCAAAGGGCCTGTGCAATTGGAACGAATTGAAAAAGTCTGATGGGGTTAAATGAAAAAGAGGCAGACAATACCTGGCAGTATGTCTCAAACCGTAAGGTGCACAGAAATAACCTGAGAATCTCGTTAAAAGGCAGATCCTGTTTCATAGGCTGAAGTGGAATATGAGACTTAGTATTTCCAACAAGTCCATGGTTGATACTGATGCTATTAGCCCATGAACCAAGTTTCAGCTATTGAAGTGAGCATTTTATCACCAAGTTTGGGTGAACCTCAAACAGAAACCTTTCTAGAGTTAATTTACTGAGCATCACAATTCCTTGGATGATCAGAACTGTCTGACATATTTAAATTTAGTGCAAGTCAAATACTCATGTTTGACCAAGATGGCCTGAAAGTTTCCTTCAGCTTGACTAAATTTTACACAGGTATCTTCTTAAAGCTGGGCCTCTGACCTCCTGTTTGTTAGAGCATTTGCTTTGGAAAACTTGTCATTGTAAATCCTTTCTCCCACCCTCTGAAATGCATGCAAATATTTTCCCAGCCTCCTGTCAGTTTTACAACCCAGGAAATGTCTCTCTTAAGGACCTGGGAATCATTTCTTTGAAATGTAAACACTGAAGGAGGTAGCACTACTATCTCTCAGTCTCTGTGGGAACGTAGGAGCCTAACTTTATTTGGCACCAATTAGCAAATATAAATGGCCCAAACACAGAGAACATTTTCAAACTTGGTTGCCAAGGATGCTAACTTTGATGGCTTCAAACGGAAAAATCTTCAAGTTTCCCCCCTGTACCTAAGTCATGCTGCAAGTCCCATTCTCCAACAGCAGATTTATCATTTTTACTTAGCTCCAAAAATAAATGCTTCCATGAAAACAGCATCACACCATCAGCTCTGGCTCCATTTTCTATGGGCTCAAAACTGTCATTTGATCTAATAGAGGAGAGACACCTGGAAACTCTTCTCCCAGTTATCTATTCAATCACCATTTTCTTCCCTCTTCAGACGAAAAACACAAGTTCTTTAAGTATTAATTTATGCATGCCTGGGAGATGGCTGAGACCCCATATTCCAAATTTCTACTTATATATAGCCATGATATCCTCCTGTGTTTCTTTTATGAATCATCAGAGCTTATATATATATATATATATATATATATATATATATATATATATAGTATTTGGTTTACATACATACAAGGATTATCTATCTATAAAGTCTAACTGAAATATTCTTCTTAAAGCAAACCAAATTATTTAACTCCAAAATGTACTTCTTGACATATTTCAAGAAGGCTTCTTAGAAGTTCTGGAACCACAAGTTGCCTTTTGTTGGAGAGATTTGAATCTGTCAATTTTGTCAATTTTGTTTCTGCATGAAGTGAAGTAAACAACAGATGCTAACAGGCTTTCATTGAAGTTCCCCCTCCCACATCTAGATCTAGGAAAGATTAACTGAGAGTCTGACACTTTTAAAGGTTTGAGGGAAACACTTATTACTATCTACCACGGATTCTCTCTGAGGGTTACTTAACGGTGAGGTTTCATGACTGCCTTTTCCCCAGGTAATTTCTCTTCTCTCTTCCTCCTGTCTTGCCACCAAAACCCCTTTTGCCATGCTCAGAGTCCTTAACCATAAGATGATAAAAGTGACAACCATCTGGCCATTTGAGTTTTTTATATTTTGTATGAATCCCGTGCACACAGGTGCATGTAATAAAATGTGTATGCTTTTTATTTTTCCTGTTAATATATTATCAATTTGTTTTATAGACTCAAATTATCAAAACCTTCAGGGAAAAAATTTAAATTTCCATACAATCTCAATATATGTGAAGAAAATAAATTTTACAACTGGAAACAAATGCCACCCAAATAAATTAAATGAAACTTTAAAATTCTCTTACTTCCAAAAATATGTGACTTTTTAAATCAAGTATTTTCTGCTTACCATGGTATTTAATATATTATTATATGTATACATTACATTATATATAATTATTTGACAACTACCTAAGAAGATTACTAGCACTGAGTACATACTATGTGCCAGACACTTTTTAAAACTCTTTACTGTAATCTTCACAGTAATCTACAAATCAGGTACCATTATTATCATCATTTTACATACAAAGGAATTTGAAACATAAAGATGCCTAGTAACTTGTCTAAGGTCACACATCTGATATGTGGTGAATCTTGTACTGGAGAATTTACCTCTGTAGGGTGAGAGATTAACCATTATACATTTTGTGAAGGGCAGTGGCTATTTACAGTTATTTCTCAATGGCTTAAAATTATTCTGGACCAGTTGTAATGGCTCATGCCTGTCATTCCAGCACTTTGGGAGGTCAAGGCAGGAGGATCCCTTGAGCCTGGGGGTTCAAGGCCAGTCCGAGCAACATAGCAAGATCCCCATCTCTACAAAACAATAGAAAAAATTAGCCAAGTGTGGTGTTGTGTTCCTGTAATACCAGATACTCAGGAGCCTGGGACAGGAGGATCACTTGAGCCTGGGAGGTTGAGGCTGCAGTCAGCCATGATTGTGCCACTGCAATCCATTCTGGGTAACAGAGGGAGACCCTGTCTCTAAACAAACAAACAAACAAACAAATAATTTGTCTAAAATTACTCTAAAATTGGAAAATGCAGGGATTGCAGCTAGATCTACCTCTGTATACCTGCATTTTAACACAAACTAAAGCCATTTTTTATTGTGATATATGAAGCATCTAATAATATTTTAATTAAAAACTGTATTCAAGGATGAAAAGACAAGACAGACTGGACAAAATATTTGCAAAACAAACATCTCATAAGAAACTTGTATTCAAAATACACGAAAAGCTCTCAAAACTCAACAATAAGAAAATGTAAAATTAAATAGTTTAAACTTAAAGCTGTTGGAACTTTAAATTATTTGAGCTTTGAGAGAAATGTGATTATGTGGCCATCACAGTCATGATAAAATCAAGGTCAATCTGTATGAACAAGTTCCACATGGTGGTAGGAGAGAGACTAAGTGCCCAGAGAAGGGGGAAGCCCCTTGTAAAACCATCAGCTCTCGTGAGAACTAACTCACTATCACGAGAACAGGATGGGGACCACCACCTCATGATTCAATTATCTCCACCTGGTCCCTCCCATGACACGTGGGGATTATGGGAGCTACAATTCAAGATGAAATTTAGGTGGGGACACTGGCAAACCATATCAATTAACTAGTTATTATTTTTGATATTATTGACAAAATATTTGATTTTCTAAATAGAAGTAATATCTGAGACTCAATTAGTTCTGCTCTGGTCCATAGAATTTTACATCATATAGGGATTGTTGAAGCAATGCTTCAACTTTAGAGGGGAGAAAATTGAGAATCTTGTTTGGTCACATGCTCAATGCCAGATAACTAGTTAATAATTGGTAACTGTTAGTCACACGCTTACTACACAGCCTTGTATAGTATTCTTTGATTTAATCATGACTATAATGACAGTAACTTTTAACCAAATTCATCCTCTTCCAGAAAGCTTTACTGAAAGGCATTTTTATTTTCTTCTCTTAAGTAAGGGCAGTTTAGTGGAACAATATTAGAATAAGTTCATGCAAGTGAGCCTGGTTAGAGTTTTGATTTTGTCACTTGCTAAAAATTTCTCCTTGGAGTATGGGCATCATGTACTCTCAATAAATTCTCAGTTTTTTTTAATGTTTAATGGGTTACACTATAGAAATGATTAGTAAGAACATTTTATATGATTATTGGAAGGCTACCATAAAATGTTTTTTAAAGTGGTATGAAAATCACAATATGCTGTATAAATATAAATTGTTATTATCATTTCTAAGACACTATTAGAGGGGGCTAAAAGCAAATTACCATAAAAAGCAATTTGTTGGAGTAAGAATCATAGCTAGCAAAAGAGTGTACATTCTTTGAGCAGTAGGAGATGTTTTAGCCTGTTTTCATTTTTCCCTAATATTATGAGCAATGGATAAGGTTTAACTGCCATTTTAATTAAACAGCATAGCAACTTACAAGGATATGGTTAGGATAAGTGTTTGACAACTAGAGTTAAAAAAATGTGCCTTAAGCTCCTGGGAGTAATGCAATATACACCGATAAAAATAAGTATGCATTTTAAACATCAATGTTGAAAAGATAGGTTTAGCCCCACCTTTTATAACAATAGTATATTTTTTAACTTGAAATGAAACTGTTAATGTGAAAAAACATTTAAAATTCAAAACAAGAACAAATATGTATCCTGAAAGTTGTAGGGCAAGTATGAGTTCTGTACTATCTATTAGAACGCTGCTATAAATTCCCTTCTTTAAAAAAAAGCATAGTAGGCAGTATATTTGGGAGTCACTAAGTAAGATCACTTTAAAATCTTGTGCTAATTCCTGTAAATAGAATGAGCAGTCCATATTTCAAATACATGTTCCTCAAAATCCTTTGTCAATTTAATTTTATGTGTGTTATGTTTAAACTATATTTAAACCGTGATTCTTATTCATGACTGTAATAAGAAGCCTTTACATCATTTGTTTAAAGAAGAGAGAAAAACTAACTGATCTTAACTATTTCTACACAGTACAAAATAAGAATTTTATTTATAAAAAATCTCGAGCAGATGGAGATTTTGGTAGAGACACAGGCAGATTGTTTCAAAGACTCTAGAAAATGCATTGATGTATTTAGAAATAACTCACTGGGTACCCATAAAGAGTTTTGTATATTCTAAAAGATCTCAATTAAGGGATTAAGTCTAATAACTTGTATAAATTATGGCTAAAGTCTAAATGATAAATCCTATGTCGAGGGAGGAAAAGATACAACAATTAGAAAATCAATAACTTTTCCAATGTTTATACTTCAATTTTTAAGCATAAAGGTTAATAGGCTTGTCATGTTTACATCCTGCTTAGAAATGCTTCCATATGCATTAGCTGAATGGAGCAAGCCTTTCTAATGTCAAATATAAGACTTGAAAAAACATCCCCAAATATAAACAAAATTTACTTTTTTTTGGTCCTTGGTGGCCTATAATGGTAGTTCAAAATTGTAGGTGATAAACATAACCTCATAGGGTCTTGCTCTGTTGCACAGGCTGAAATGCAGTGATGCAATCATAGTTCACTACAACCTCAAACTCCTGGGCAAGCCATCCTTCCACCTCAGCAAGAGTAGCTAGGACTACAGGCAGGTGCCACCATGCGTATTTTGTTTTATTTTGTTTTTGTTTTTGTAGAGACAGAATCTCACTATGTTGACCAGGTTATTCTTGAACTACTGGGTTAAAGTGATCCTCCTGCCTCAACAACCCAAAGTGCTGAGAATACGGATGTGAGACACCATGCCCAGCCCCAAAACCTTTACTAATTGAAGGATAGCAAAGAATAACTTTGGCTTTGGTGGCTCTTTTGGAATGGATTTATTTCTGGTTTATAAAATCAGAGCACTGATTGTCTGATCTCTCCCAAAATAGCTCACTAAGTGAAAATGAAAGTCCTAACTTCGCAGCCAGTCCATGTCCTACTGTAAACTGAATGTCTGCCTTTCAGTAAAGACAAGATAATGGTGTGGCACAGTGAAGCTTAGAATAAATTTACAGATCATGGTTCTCTTCACATGTTTCCTTGATGTAAAATAATTTTCTTTTTCTTTCTAAATTTCTTCCCTTATGTAACTAGAAATTAGTTTTTGTTTTAGCTGTGGATAATTTCCAGATTAATATTTCATTCAAATGTAACTGCCTTTTATGCATTCATTAATGACTAAAAGTGGTGCATGCTCAGTGGACTAAATGAATGAATTCTTGTGGCTTCTATGGAGAATCACTTTAGCTAAATTTAAAAAGTGTGAAGGCCAGTGATGATGAGCATTTTTCCATGTGTCTGTTGGCTGCATAAATGTCTTCTTTTGAAAAATCTCTGTTCATATCCTTTGCCCACTTTTTAATGGGGTTGTTTGATTTTTTCTTGTAAATTTGTTTAAGTTCTTTGTAGATTCTGGATATTAGCCCTTTGTCAGATGGGTAGATTGCAAAAATTTTCTCCCACTCTGTAGGTTGCCTCTTCACTCTGATGGTAGTTTCTTTTGCTGTGCAGAAGCTCTTTAGTTTAATTAGATCCCATTGGTCTATTTTGGCTTCTGTTGCCATTGCTTTTGGTGTTTTAGTCATGAAGTCCTTGCCCATGCCTATGTCATCAGAGAAATGCAAATCAAAATGTCATCAGAGAAATGCAAATCAAAACCACAATGAGATACCATCTCACACCAGTTAGAATGGCGATCATTAAAAAGTCAGGAAACAACAGGTGCTGGAGAGGATGTGGAGAAATAGGAACACTTTTACACTGTTGGTGGGAGTGTAAACTAGTTCAACCATTGTGGAAGACAATGTGGTAATTCCTCAAGGATCTAGAACTAGAAATACCATTTGACCCAGCAATCCCATTACTGGGTATATACCCAAAGGATTATAAATCATGCTACTATAAAGACACATGCACATGTATGTTTATTGTGGCACTATTCACAATAGCAAAGACTTGGAACCAACTCAAATGTCCATCAATGATAGAATGGATTGAGAAAATGTGGCACATATACACAATGGAATACTATGCAACCATAAAAAAGGATGCATTCATGTCCTTTGTAGTGACATGGATGAAGCTGGAAACCATCATTCTGAGCAAACTATCACAAGGACCGAAAACACCAAACACTGCATGTTCTCACTCATAGGTGGGAATTGAACAATGAGAACACTTGGACACAGGGTGGGGAACATCACACACCAGGGCCTGTTGTAGGGTGGGGGGATGGGGGAAGGATAGCATTAGGAGAAATACCTAATGTAAATGATGAGTTAATGGGTACAGCAAACCAACATGGCACATGTATACACATGTAACAAACCTGCAGGTTGTGCATATGTATCCTAGAACTTAAAGTATATATATAGTGTGTATATATATATAGATGTGTGTATATATATATATATATATATAGATGTGTGTATATATATATGTGTGTATATATATATAGATGTGTGTATATATATATATAGATGTGTGTGTGTATATATATATATATTTATATATACACACACACAAACAAGAGAGCCCTAAAGTAGTGCTTACAGCCCTTCCTTGCCTGGCCCCATGAACTCCTCCAGCCTCCTCTCATTCCACTACTTGCTTCCCATGATCCCCTGGACAGCACCTCAAACTCCTCCAGTATCTTAATTCCTGAGGTTGTTTCTCACCTCCTTGCATTTGCTCAGGATTTCCCTTGGATCGGGATCACCTGTCTTTACCCCCAACCCTCTACATCCTTTTTACCTAAATAGCTCCTCATTACTCATTTTTAATATTCCAGCAGGTATCACCTCCCCTAACAATCATCCTCCCCTGGCTGGGACCCAAACATGTCCAAGAGTGTTGGACATTAATACTTAACATTTAGGCACCAATCAAGCACTGCTAATGCTGGCCACAGGACTGGGCCAGGGTCCTCAGGCAACCTCATCCTCTGCAGCCTCACCAGGTTTAAACCTATCATTACTGATTCTGGTGGTGGAGCAATTGGAGCAGTCATAAAAAAAAGAAGGTGGGAAGGCAATGATTTAAGCACATGTTACTTTAATTCTGGTCAGTTAATTCTATATGTATATGAAATATAGTATATATAATACATCTGTATGTATTATATACATGCAAATTTATGTTTCTAGCAAGCATTTGGACCATAGTCTCCCCCTGCACTTGCCAGCAGTATATGCACATCAACCACCAAATGTCAACTTTTTTTGAGAATGATAAGTATCCTCCCATAAACCCAACATTAATACCCAGAGGCCTTACTACTTTTCTGTTTCCCTAATTCAAATAAACCTAGCAATAAACATTCTTAAGCTAGATGATCGATAGAGAGTTGGTGATAAATAATACAGAGGCTTATATAAATTATGGCCTAAGGAAAATACTCTTAGAAATTAATAGTTGTACTAAGAGGTACCATATAGCCCATTCCAGTATGCTGTGAAATTTACTATTGAATGCACGTTATAAATTTGTCACTGAACAAGGAGAAATATGGAATCAAGTCCGTGGAACTATGGGCTCCAGTATTCAATGTAAAATGAAAATTTTCAAAAACTTTTACAACGGTCTAAACAAAGTAATAGAAATTCTATATACTCATATGAAGTATGTATGTTCCTACAAATAAATAAAATTCTGAAAGAACATTTACAACCCAGGAAGGAGATCATAGTACCAAAAGTTTTGTAGGGCAAAATTCCAATATTTCAATATAATGTTTTAAAAATTTTTTTAATTAGTTTTTGCCTGATGATGACTATCAAAGCTTTCTCAAAGTATTATGTTAATAACAATAATGTTAACAATCAGTGTTAGTGATCTTGTTTCTTTAGCTGACTATAAAATAAATTAAGAAATTCATCTCTTTTATTTTTATCTGTGTTACATTTAAGGCTATTATCTCAGGTATATACACCAAAACTCTGGCACTCCTTGTTTGACCGTAAAATGAAAGAAAATTTTAAAGTGTCATAAATAACTGTTGAGTGAATTACCACCCCCTCCCCCAAGGTCCATAGAGTGACAATATACTTATTAAATAGATATTGTGTTAGCTTTTTAAAATGACTGCTGTGACAAATTACCACAAACTTAGTGACTTAATATTATCTTAGAGTCTTGTAGGTGGGAAGGCCAGTACAGTTTTCACAGGGATGAGGAATCGGTAGGACTGCATTCCTTGTGGAGACTTTAGAGGAAAATCTGTTTCCTTGCATTTTCCAGCTTCTAGAGACCACTTGCATTCCTGACTCGTTCCCTATCTTCAATCAAGCAATGGCAGTCAAGTCCTTCTCTCATGCTATCATTCTGACCCACCTTCAACCTTACTGCTTCCACTTTAGAAACTCTTGTGATTACACTGGGCACAGCTGGATAATCCAGGCTATACTTCCCATCTTGTGGTCAATTAATCAGCAAATTTAAATTAGTCTCAAAACTAAATTCCTCTTCTCCATACAACATAGCATATTTTAATGTCCTGGGATTGGGAAGAGGATATATTTGGAAGGCAATTATTTTGTCTATCACTGACATACACAGAGATTCACAGTTTGCAATCAGTTTCATTTACAGATACAAACTTCCTCAAAAACATCAAAATTTGCATACCCAATTTTAACCATAAAACGATTAAAAACACATAAAAAGCTTTATTTTTATTCAGCTTATCATTCTTTACTTAGGTAGTCACTTTACTTTCTCATTCCTTGAAGGTTTATTTAACAAAACAAAACAAAAGAGAGTGGAAAATGTGATTACAAAACAAGAAGTATATGTGGATAAAAATTATTGAGAATGCAGAAAAAAAATGACATTCTACAATCTTCTTGAAGTGCACATTGCTTTTACAAATCCATAAAACCTGAGGATTGATTCATTCTATCATGCCCTGGTTCTATTCTGAAATCTGAACAGTACTATCCGCTTATCATTTTTTAGCTGCTGCTGCTCTTCACTGAGTGTGCCAAGTGGGGAGATCAGAGGTCTAGGTCTTAAATGAATACAGAGCAAATCAGCTGCTTTTCTCAGAGTGGCCTGGAGTCAAATACATTTTAAAGAAATATAATTACAAAATAGCTTGCTGAATTGATGTATTCCATATAGTATACCTTTTACTTCTCTTTCCAGTAATATTGTCATGTCTAAATATGTCCAGAACATCTGATCACTCCCTTTTGCAAATATGTTCTCCAAAATCTCAACATGTAAGACTATGCCTATCTGGTTAAGAAGGTAAGGGTATAGTGTTTGAGCAGGGAATATTTACTTATAGCATATATTCCTTAAACTTTTCTGTTGGCAAATATCATTTGAAATATACCATAAAGGTTATTTTCATCCCATGACGCTTAGGCAGAGTTGAATATAGCAATTTAATCCAAGTAGTTAAAACTCTGAAGAATTTCCATTTTCTTGCTTGATGATTTGTAATATGGTGCCTAATAAAACAGTATGAACTACATAGGCTGTCAAAATGAGAGTTTCAAATAGGAATCTGGAAAACATAGTTCAAACTCAAGGTCTGGTACTAAGGTACTAATTATATTTACATCAAATACAAGTAAGTAGAACACTTTGTTTTTTATATTTTTATTTATCAATCCATCTATGCACCCACCCACCATATCATCTATTATCTAAATATCTGTCAACCTATCTTGTGTAAGTTTGTCTACATTCCCCACAACAACTGCTAAAAAGTTAAGTCTACAATCTCTAATCTAACTTGTAAACACACTCTGATTATTTTGTCATTATAAAGTTTGAGTATCCGTTGTTGCATTTATTATAGTCATTCTTCTTGCCTAATTGCCTGTCCAGCTAAATCTTACTACTCTTCTTATTAGTCCAGAAGTTAATACCATATGAGACAAGTATTTAGGAGAAAACTGTTCCTGTTTTTACCAGCTTCACTGATGATTCAAGAATTGTAATAACTGTGGACAATATAAAGCTCAATTTAAAGTTTGCAGCCAAATATTAAATACTGATAGAATCAGAAATAACTAAATGCATGGCATCATATCCCCTCTTCATGAATTGTTGAATTGTATTTGCTTAAGATGTTAACACAAACAGGTTTTACTAATTTTAACAAAAAGAAAATTGCAGTTTATTGTATCCACAGACTAGCAGCAGATCTGAAAGCTTTGTGCCTATTAAAGAATAAACCCTTTCTACACCAAAGACAAAAGAGATAGCTAACCAATATCACAAGAGGGCTCAAAAAGTCTCCTGGTTTGAACTATTGTTAATTATCTGTTAAAAAGTGTATTATTGTTTATATGCTGATCTCTAGGTCAGGGATTTTGCAATCCTGACAAAAGGAGATAATTGCATATGGAGTTTTCAACAGTAGAGT
The DNA here is from genome assembly GCF_000001405.40 of Homo sapiens. Lineage (NCBI taxonomy): Eukaryota > Metazoa > Chordata > Mammalia > Primates > Hominidae > Homo > Homo sapiens. The sequence continues at coordinate 73,447,422 of NC_000012.12, read as the reverse complement.
TTCTTGAGTTCCAAATTCAGAACTTCTCATTCAGTAAATTCATTTATTTATTGAGCCTTTAATGTATGTCAGGCACTGTAGGGGGTAATTGAGAGCTATGGGAACAAAAATGAAAAAAAAAACACTGTAGAATGTAAATTTTAATGAGATAAAAGGATAATAACAATAATAAATACATTTTAAAAGATATATTTTATAAATAGTACAATGAAAAAATTGGAATAAAAGTGAATGGGAGGTGTTTTAATTTAAATATCAGGCAGGCCTCATTGATAAGGTGACATTTGAAGCAAGCTTTGCAGATATCTTGGGGAGAGTGCAAAGTTACTAAATCAGGGGTTTGCCCATTAAGTAGGAGGAACAGCAAGAAAGCCAATGTGACAGGAATAGAAAATATGAGGAAAGGATTAGTTTAAAAATGAGGACAAAAACATATCAGGTTTTTGTGAAGGAGCCATGAATAGCTATTTTAACCAATAAAAATAATTCTGAAACACAACAAGGAATGAGAAGTAATCTCTCCATAGGTTTTATTAACCTTACCTGTTAACAAATACGGATTTCAGTTTGTAAAGGTAGGAATTAATATTCATGGAGATAATAGAAATTTATCAAGTGGAAGAGAAATATTATTTAAAAATTAAAGATACTTAAGATTACATAGTTGATATATTAAGAGACGTAAATGTGAAATATCTCTGAGCTGTTTATTCAAAGCTACTCAGTGATATTGGAAATGAATATGAGTAGGTAAGAAAAGATTTGGGAGGTGTATGTTACTACTATTCTTAAAAATCTAACATTTGTAATTTCCATTCAGTAACTACAGATGTTTCCATATTTTTATTTAACCCAATGTTTATTTTGGGTTTCGAAGCATTATATGAAAGTTTAAGTAATTTCTAAATACATATTTGAGAAATGTGAATTTGGAATGTACATATCTTTAAAATCATAAAAAGTGATAATTTAGTTTCAGATATCAAATAATTTAAAGTTTTCTAAATTTTACATCAGAGTAAAGTCTCAGGGAAAAAATATATTAGTAGTTTTGAAATACCTAAGTAATAGTCATCCTACATTATCAGCATCATGCCCTCTCCTCTCCAAAATCTGCTCCATCTTACTTAATACTGCCACCAAAAATTTTGGAGTTAGCTGAGGTAATCACTACAATGTTTTTCACCCACAATTTTCAAAAGACTATTAAATTATCACAGCCCAAATTCAACTTATTAGATCCCTCTTGCCCTCTCCATAGCACTGCCCTAGACCTGAATATTAACCACCTCTCCACTAGGCTACAGGCTGATTTTAGGAGTATTTCTACTTTCTAGTACCATCCACTGCCAAGTAATCATATACCAGAATCTTCTCTTTAAGGGACAAATGTATGCATATTATTTGTCTCCTTAAATCCATTTGATAAGCCACTGTCAGCTACAGAATAAAACTGGCATTTCTTTGCAAGGCATAAAATACTCCCATAGCCTCTAGAATCTGCCTGTCTTCTAGTTTCATTTTCCACAATACTCATCTTCCTCTTGCTATATTCTCCAGCCACGCCAAATAACCCCTTTTTTCACCATCTGATCTCACACCTTCATAACCTTAAACAGGAAACCATCACTTCCTGAAATTATTTTTAGTCTTATATTTGGCTGGTAAACTATAACTTAACTTTCAAGATCCAACTCGGCCATTAGACCTCCAAAGAATAAAGTCAATCCCTCTTTTAAACTATAACTTTTGCATACTTCCAATATGGAGGTTTATTATAAATTACTAATATGTTTTGTGTTTTTCATGTCTACACTATTAAATAATGAGTATTTGTTAAAAGCATACTTTTTTTTTTTACTATTTCTTCTACCCCCATGGCTAATTCAATCCTGGAAAATTAATCTAATAAATATTTGAAGGAAAAATAATGATGAAAAAGAGACAGGGGCAAGAAGGAAAGATGGCAATGCATTGATATTTATGATTCTGTCTTTCCGAGAAAAGCATTCCAGCTTCCCACTTTATTTCCATATTTAAAAATGGTTATCCAGATATATAGTAGAACTTACACATGAGTGTGAAACACACACTAGCCTCATATCTTTATAAAATCAACTGACAATAAATTATCTAGGTTATAGAGAAGAAGCAAAGCTAAATTGTTTTCCCCAATATCAGAAAGATCTATTGAAGTGTTATTCAAAAATCATATGGAAAGAAAGAATATTCCAAGCATTTCTGAGTAAAAATACAGAGTTGTGATGCTACAAAGTCTCGACCTTATTTTTCTCTTAAAATATGCATGCTGTATGATTTAATATTATCTAAAGAAGAAAAAGTATTACAATACAAAATAAAAAAAATCAATTACTTACCTTAAAAATTTGCTGCATAAAAGTCCCATATGCCTCAGAAATTCTTTCACAACATTCCTGACATAGATACCACTATAGGCTTACTATACATTTTCAGTGAGAGAAAATGTATTTTTCAAGAAGCACGGTGTCTTGGATGGTCAGAACTATTGGAAAGTCTATTTGAAACCAGGCAGTTTTTTTTCCCTTGACCCTATGAAGTAACATTGAATAAATTTAAATTTTAGAAACCAAAGACTTCAAACAATCATGCACCTATAGTAATCTCTATTAACTATCTCTTATTCATGATAAATACACCAGATTTATTTCATCATTTTTCAAAAACAAGCTGTGTTTTGTGTTATAATCTCAAATTTTAACTAGTTCATCTTCTGAACATAAAGCATAACAAGGACCCACATAAATTACTATAAGTAGAACTGACACTTTCCTCCAATGTATTCTGACTTATATGACTAATATCTAAGCAATATACTCCTAGGCCGCTACAACGAAATTTAACTTTCAGTCAGACATTCAGGAAAAAAGTAGTATAAACAGTCTTCTAGATAGCTGAATATTAAATCTTAGTTTTAGTTTATAGATTCTGTTGAATTGGAGATCTCCAAGTATTAAAGATTTCATACTGATTGTTTTCTCCCTTTTTTTCTTTTTTAGCTTTACAAGATTATGCCTGTTCTTTTTTTTTTAATTGATGGTAATACATTGTGGAATTTTGATATACTACAATCTTGAATCACCTTAAATCTTTTATTTACATTGGTGGAATTGTCCTTTATTCTCACATGACATTTGCTATATAAATTGTTATTATCATTACTTTATTAGACTATCTCAGGTGTAAAATGAAAAATATAAGATAACTTTTTTTTTTTTTGCGGGGTGGTGGAGATGGAGTCTTGCTCTGTCACCCAGGCTGGAGTGCAGTGGTGCTCCAGCTCACTGCAACCTCTGCCTCCCAGGTTCAAGCAACTTTCCTGACTCAGCCTCCTGAGTAGTTGGGATTACAGGTGCCTGCCACCAGGCCTGGCTAATTTTTGTATTTTTTGTAGAGACGGGGTTTCATCATGTTGGCCAGGCTGGTCTTGAACACTTGACCTCAAGTGATCCGCCCACCTTGGCCTCCTAAAGTCCTGGGATTACAGGTGTGAGCCACCACACCCGGCCAAAATCTTAGGATAACTAATGTAATGCTAAGGTAATTTGGTCACTATCTTCTGGTTCTTCAATAGTAGCCAACTACTTTATCCTTTTTCGTCAACAGTTGTTTCAAAGTAGGAATTCCTATTGTTACTTCCTCTTATTTGTTTAAAGAGAAAAAATTTTGTATAAGGCTAGTTAGTCAAATACTTCATCAGATTTGCAAATTTTCAAAATATCAATGTTCCAGAAGGATTCGGATGTTTACAAATACTTGTATGCATATTATCACTGTTTATAAGTGACTTACATTCTGGATAACACTACATAAATATTTTATCATGAGATTGTAATACCCTGCCAGTCTATGTGTTACTTTCTACGGAAGACTTCTAAGGAGTTTATAAAATATTTTTAAGTTTATAAAATATTTTTCTCTTTTATGCATATTTTTAATATATGTTCAATATTGTATTTGATATTTTTTCTCATCAAATTTCATATTAAAAAAATTTCAAATTAAAGCCCTTTTATTCATACCAGTACGCCTCTCAATACAATCAGGCTTCTTCAGTTTTATAAAATATACTTAGTCCCCTTAAAAAGATTCATTATATTAACTTCATAAATCAAAATTTAGAAAACAATTCCTGTTTTTAGACACTATGTATAAATTTGCTCACAATACACATCTTCTTTTCTCTGTCATGATGAAAATCTTTAACTCAAAGAAAAAATTGCTAGAGTAACTATGCCTCTTAATTTTTTTCAGTTTCCTATCTTGAACTTCATTTCTTACTTCAATCTTTAAATATATATTCAATTATAAGCTAACGTCTGTGGATATAAGAATAAAATGTACTCACTTCAATTATTTTGAAATCATTCATATTATAATTTCACTATAATAATTCATCTTATTATTGTGAAATATACTATAATGAATATAATGAAAAAGTTCTACTGTAATAAAAAGCGTTATGTAAGAATTTTCAAAAATATTTCAAAGCATGATTAGGAAGTGCTATTCTGCCAAAGTACTTAAGGACTACCTTCCCAAAAAAGGTGAAATTTGAGCTAAGTCATCTTGGCTGGATAAGCATCCTAATGATAGAGAAGAAAATAAAAGGAACAGCTGTCCTAATAGAGAGAACTAATATGTCAAAAGGTATCAGAAATCATGGCCCACTCAGAAAGCCACAATTTGTACCATTTTGTCTGAAATATAGGGCTTGGGTGTGAGAGTGGAAGGAGGTGATTGTGGAAATACTAATGGAGGTCATAATATGAAGAGTTTTGCATACTATGTGAAATTTAGCTTTATCACATAGGTGATAAAATATTAAAGTATTTAAAGCAAAGCTGTGACATAAGTAGATTTTTATTTTAGGTAAATTATTTTTATAGAATATGAAGAATGAATAGGTGGTTTAAGACTAGAAAAGGAGTAATGTGCATACAAGTGTGGATGAAGTTGAGAAGATGCCCCCAAAACAGAGCTCAAATGAAAAAACAAACCAAAAAAAATGTGTCTCTCTCTCTCTTTTTTTTTTTTTTTTTTGGAAACAGGGTCTTGCTCTGTTGCCCAGGCTGAAGTGCAGTAGCATGATCTTGGCTCAAGTCAACCTCCACCTCCCGAGTTCAAGCAATCCTCCCATTTCAGCCTCCTGAGTAGCTGATACCACAGGTGTGCACCTGGCTACTTTTGTATTTTTAGTAAAGACAGGGTTTTACCATGTTCTCCAGACTTGTCTCAAACTTCTGGGCTCAAGCAATCTGCCCATCTTGAGACACCACACCCAGCCAAGATGTGTCCTCAATATAAGAAAAGGTAACTTCAAGAAGAGAGTCATCAGCAGAATCAAACACCACAGAAAAGGCAGAAATAGCTAATTAAATACAGATAAAAACCTTATATTTGAATTGGAATGATAGTCCCAAAGGATTTGTAGGCATGTAAGTGTGTAAGCCTTTGAGATATGAATGAAAAGAGGCATTTCAGACAGTCAGGTAGACTAATCTTTAAGCAGTCAATAAAACAGTGAATGGATGGGTGGATGGACGAATGGATGCATGGATGGCTGGATGGATGGATGGATGGGTAGGTGGATGGATGGATAGATGGATAGACAGATGAATGAATAAACTGATAGCAATTCATTCTAATAGTCTTCATTCCTGTGAATAGTTTACGCATTGATTCAGCAAATAGCCATGACATGAGCTGCTTTAAACATTGGGAATATAATGTAAACAACACAAAGCCCCAACCCTAAAACCCTAAATAGCTTAATAGTATAATGGCTGCAAAGCTCTTACATTTGTCTCTACTGCAGTTCTCTAAGCAAAAACAATAGTCACTTGTGCTAATAAGTCTTTCTAAGAAAGGAACTAACCGAGAGTAACTTAGGTTCTAAAGTGATGCAGTCCATTATCTCTCAGCAATGTAGCAATTACATTTTTATGCATGACGAGTGGAAGAGGCATGTATCTGCCGTTAAAGTTTTATGCATCACTATTTACAGAAGTGGAATAAATATCCATCAATGACATGATGTATATAAGAACATCCATCAAAGGTTAAAAGAAGGAAAGGAATATCTATGATTAATTGTTTATTCTCCAATTCATCAAGCAGTAAAATAAGTATTCTTCAGTTTAACTGCTGACACATTCAGACTAAGGAGGATATTTGTTGGTTCAAATTGTGTATGCTACTAATTTCAAGAGCAAAATAAAAATCCATCAATGCCATGCCAAGTAATTGGAAATGCTTTGGAGGATTTGTCCAGAGATTTTATTTTCCCAAATTGCCTTCTCAGAACTTGTCGTCACATAAAAAAAAGCCCTAATTTGTTGATACATCAAGTTCTCTAGGGAAGTAGTTACAGGTCAAAGATTGGCACAACTGTTTTTATGACTTATGACAACAAAGCTAATACAGGCCAAGTGCCATCATGCTATTTATAAGTAATTTTACAGAAAAATTTATAATCAGCAAATGTTTGTATTATGTGTTAGAAGAACCTTATTAATTAGTTAATGAAATATTGTCTGAATTTTTGTAGAGTGTCTTTCCACTTTTCATGATTCAATGATTGGGCGATATTCATTACTTTGTTTCCTAAATTACATCACTATGTGTGATGTATACCAAATTGAAAACTGTACAGTTTCTCAGGTACATTCAATAGTACAAAACAATATATTTGCAGTCCATTCCTGGAACACCTGTCATCGTACCAACAATGTTACATCAAAACTGTATCTTGCTTTACATAATCAATAGCGCATCAAATAAATATTTTTGAACTTCAATTTGCAGAGGACTGATGAAACTGAACCAGAATATAAACGTTTAACCTATTTCCTAGCCTGAAATAACTAAACAATGTTAAATAAAAATAAGATTATTTATTACTAACATACATTGATATTGGACGAAGTATAAGATGACAATTCTTCAAGCTGAATTATTTTAAAAAGTTTGGACTTTCAGAAAAAGTGTTTAGGATATCTAATTGGATTGAGGAAGAATATGAACTGTGAACCATTGTGTCATTCATAAAGATAGAAATCAAATTATAAAGTCCAACTATTACTTGCTCTTCATTTTGATAATATGATGAAAATGTTAATTATATTTCTTCACAATCTCTCTTAACAAAATCCATTTGAATAAAAAAGTTAACTTCTTAAGTGACTCTTTTTCTTCCATTTGAAGAAATTGGTAGAGAAGACTGACTTCACAAATAAAGAATTTAATTAAAGCCATTAATGTTGAATTTTTTAAATGTTGAAATTAAAATATTCTTTTCTCCCCGTTTCCTCAGAAATCTACCAGAAATTTATCAATCCAGCTTCAAAGCTGAGTACTTACAATCATAATATTTAGATCCTACTCAAAAGATAAAAAAAACCTAATCTACAAAAGAAGAGGAATTGTAAATAGAATATCCCAACCTTTTCCATTTCACTTTAGACCTTAAAGAAATTACTTGCATAGCACACTGTATATACTAGGAAAGTGCTTAGTCAAACCCAGTCAGTCAAGATTCAAATTCTAGGGATAAACCCTGTAATTGGTCTCTTGAGTTTGGCTACATTTTGCCCAGGAGTAGAATGCCTTATTTGAAGCCCCACAAGATTTAATCCAATAATAGAAAAATTCCTCGAAGTAGAATCAGGGTACTTCTCATATTAACAACAAAATAAATGGATGTCACACAGGCAACAATATTGTTAGAATGTAGCATGTATATAATTATTGCTATTTCAAAAATGATAAAGCATGATATATATGACATATATTTGATGTAAGTGTGTGTGTGTATATATATATATATGTATATATATTTATACACATACATTTTATGTCCATAATCAGAGACTTACCAAGTGATTAGAAAGCTAAAGATTTTCCTGCTATACCTATCAATATCAATGAACTATATACTTACAAAAAGAAATTTATTATGGACATAAAAATACATTTAGATATACATATAAAAATGTTTCTGCTCATTGGATTGGTGGTTATTTTCTCAGCTTCTATAAAATCTGTATGTTCAATGGGGAGTAGAAAGTTCATTAATTTTACAGAAATGCTCTTTAAAGAAAATACAGAGGTTGAATGTGATAATTGCTAAATTGTGCCAAAAGAAAAAAAAACAGTAGCAGTTAAGTGAGTAGTTTTTTATTTATATGCTTAGAGATTAATATAATAGCTCTAACAAATATTTCTCTTATATAATATCAATTTTATTAAAAACGAATTTCTTCATATAATATGAAATCTCTATGTGTATTGACTAATTAAATCGCTAATATTCATATTGCTGTTACATGTTCAATAATTTTAACTAGCTTATAATAGGTCTTTATTAAGTGATTAAATAAGATATATACATTTCCATTTAGTCATCAGTACATTCTTCAATACTTTATTTTTTTTCAAAGGGAGGGGAAGAAAACACTAGTAATGAGCAACAGACTAAGAGGTATGAGTTAAAATGTTGTTTCAACAGGCGTACTCTGAAGAACAAATTTCCCTTTTATCTGGAGAAGTATATAGCTGGGCTTTCTAAAATCTTGATCCTCTTTTTCAGCAGGCAGAAGGGAAGATGAGTTCGTTTTCAAAAATACCAACGTTGAAACTCTGCACAAGTTTGTTATTTATTTATTCCCAGAGAGAGAGACACCTTCCCATTGTAAAGGCAAGTAAATTAAAATTTATATTTTAACATGAAGCAGGCAAAAATATTTTGCCCTTGTGGGATAACACTGAAAGAGGAAATCAAGATCCACTATTCAGTGAAGCCATCTGAAAGGACAGATCCAGCTGGATAGAACTTCTCAGTTATCAACTTTATGGGGCTACCAACATGGGTGCCTGTAACTACTATAATTGCACATCAGAAAAAAAAGAGATGTCAAATGATAATTGGTGATTTTGCAAATAAAAATTACCTGAATTTATAAGAATTTTAGATACTCTATTACTATTTGACTTGTAGACACATTGGACAATCAACCTACGTTAGAATTATATATAAGTGAACACTAATATACCATGGAGTTACTCAGTTTTATTTTTTTAACCATTATTCAGGGTCTTGGTACACTTATCTTCATAATAATTTCTCCAAGTGTCTTGCATAAAGGTTATCATAATGAACCCGAAATGAGATTGGATTTTATTCTACAGAAGTATCTCTTCAGGGCAGTAAAGCACATAAAATAGGACTTTATATCACATAACAAGTACATTTTTAAAAAATGAACTATTAGTTTAATGTCAGGTGGCTTAGGGTACTTTTAACAACTATGGTCAGCAGCAGCAGGTAGCAGATGTTAGACTACCCACATGGCTCTAATTTTAAGAATGCATATTATATTTCTTTTTTTAAGGTAAAGGTATTTAAAAATCTCACATTTAATCTCTTCTTCCATGCAGGTTATATTACAGCTAAGGCATAACATACATTTCTGTTCAGATGCTACTAATATTATGTTATCTAAATAACTTTTCTGACAGATATTCTTTTTTGGAGTAGGGCTCTTTTTTAATCTTAATGCTTGTATTTTAAAAATTATATTTTCTCTACTTAAAAGCATTCACTGCTTGCTCAAGTATTTTGAGTACATCTAATTTTATTGCACTGTCAAAGAAAATATTTTTACTATAGCAAAAGTCAACAGTCACAATATATTTAAGAGAAGCAGGGCATAAAGTCTAATCCTCATTTTATTGATGGTTTGAGAAACGAAGTAAATTCTTCTTGAAAAATAATATGAATTCTTTCTGACTCCTACCTTTTATTTCTTAGCGAAAATTAAATTTCCTTTGGCAGAAAGTAAGCAATATAGGCTTGTATATCTGTGAGATATAGTTGAAGCAATAATACTTACTGAACAATTAATCTTTTTGCGGTGTTGTTCAGTTAGATCTGGCAGTCTCTCACAGAGGAGCTTTGGAATAATTGCAATTTACAACCTAAATTGAGCACAACTTTAACCACAATTCAAAATGGTAAAATAATTGAAAATATTTAGAAAGCACTTATATTGGGGAAAATTCATTTCCCCACAATATATTTAATATTTTCTTCCACTTTTGGTTGTCACTGACGGCCTACTTGTTCATCATACTCAAAATGTAGTCTTATGGGATGTCATTCCACTTTGTATGTTCATAAAATATTTAAAATATTTTACTTAAAAAACTTTTTTGTAGGGCATTGACTGTGTATATATTGTCAGACCAATGTGTAGCATCTTCTTCCACTCGCTCTATCACACTGACAATCTCCACTACTTCTACATTTTCTCTTCCTCCTGTGCTCTATTCCTCTGCTACCTATGATGTCTTGGATATTCTTTCGTATCTACTTTCAGCCCAATTTCACTTATATACAAACATATGCTTTTATAGGAAATGGGTTTTCTTGCTTTATCAATAATTGCATTGGCATTTTCAAGTCTGGTGTCATGTATTTTTTTCGAGACTTTGACTTGCACCTTCTGAGGTGATGAATGAAAGGATTGCCATATGATAGAGTCCCTCCCTTTTAAAAGTAACATATATTTTAATAGTGTGTGGACACACATACATGAATTTTAAATTTTAATTTTGTTAGTTTTTAAAGTACAGCCATTTGTGTCTAAATCAGATGATAACAGTTATTTTTCATCAATAAAGCATGTATTGAACACTTCTTAATAATTAATCTGGAACTAGAATAAATGGTAAACAGTAGGTGATGGATAAGTGCCCTGAATCATGCTATGGAATAGAGATCAACATATTTAAAATATACATAAAGCAAAATGAGATAAGTTTTTTTCTTACTACTACTTCCTCTTGTAGTTCCTTAGCTAATTATACCTAACTGTAATCAGCTCTTTAACCATGCAATTATTTCTCAGATATCAGTACCTTTGCAGATTCTTTTTCTATGTTTTGAATATCTATCTTACTCCTTTCACCCTAATGAAACTTTAGGCAACTTTTCAAAACCAATATTGCATTTGAAAGTTTTCTTTCTTCCCGCTTGTTACACATTTTTGAATTTATCTCCCTAAGCTTTATGGCACTTTTTAACTTTACCACTTATACAGTCTCATGAATGTCTGAGTTTAATTTACATGACTGTCTTCAGCAATTGTGGCCACTTTGTCTTATACATCTTTGTATTCAAATATCTAATATACTTCATAAGTACATCAAGATTCCAATTTTTTTGCTTAAGTAATGAATAAATAGGTAGAGAAAATTACCTTGGATAATTTTATGCTAATGAGAAAAAAAATAAATGTAATTAAAATACAAATTAATTTGAAAGAAAGAATGGTAACATAATTTACCTTTAAAAGTTAATTTTTTTTTAACTGAAGTAAGTTACATTTGTTTATAAAGCCAAAAGTAGAATAAGTAGTAGAGTCTTTTGGAATTACCTTCCAACCAAAATTTAAGGGAATGGAATCACCTGGAAATGAGTAAAGAATTGATAAGCATTCTGAGAACCAAAATAATATTAAATGACATTTTAAAAAATAAAGACAGTCAAAGGGTATGTAATATTTTCTTCACTGGAGCAGTAACTTATTGGAAGAGAAAAACAATATAAATGACTGGATTGATTTACAGCTGAAGAATTACAAAGAGTCTAAGAATATTTGATAAAAGTTGGAAATTTTGAAGAAATTCTACACACAGTCCTGAGAGATTGACTAAAATTATTTTTTATTTAGTTTTGACTTGTAGAAAATGAAGCAAGGCCAAAAAGAAGCCTTGAAAGAAAGTCTGGAGAAGTAGGGAGGCATCAAATGAATATAAACCTTAATGAGATAACATAACTTAGGTTTTAACATGGGATTGGAATTTTTGGACAAATGTGGTGTTCTGGTCAAAGGGTGGAATTATATAATTTAGCAAGTAGAGCAAAGCATGTTTTCAGGATCACAGTAGACTGGATTTTCTGGAGGACTCCCACTCATCTTTTCAAAATAACTAGAAATAGATTTAAATATTTTGAATGTATTTCTGGGCACTTAGGAATATATGGACAATTTGCAAAGACCACCATGTATACCCTTTCTCTACCACATATGCCCAGTGGAAACAACAACAAAAACAAAAAACAACAATAATTTAAAAAAATACCCATGATCTAAAAACCTGATCTTAAAAGTCACAGTTGGGACCAAGTGAGAGAGCCAGGATGAATTGTTTCATTGAGAACAAATACCAATAACAATTCTTTGGCAGACATTGTAAGCATTGGACCTACAACAAAGAACAGTTATAATTTATGAAACATTCATTACATGATGATTTTAGAGGGATCTGCAGTAGTCCAAAGTCGATAGTGTCCCCCAAATCAGTCACAGATCTCACAAATAAATTTTAATTGACAATCAAGGGTTACCAACCATCTTAGGAAGAAGTTTTGTTAGAAGTACAGAAAACCACTTTAAAGCTACATGTTTTGCAAATATTGGTATTAATAATACCAATGCACAAGAAAAATATATTTAAAAGGAAAAGAAAATAAAAAATAAATTTGCAAATATGAATGATATGGTTTATCTATGTCCCCACCCAAATCTAATCTTGAATTGTAACTCCCACATTTCCAACTTGTTGTGGGAAGAACCCAGTGGGAGGTGATTGAATTATGGGGGCGGGCCATTCCTGCGCTGTTCTTAAAATAGTGATTGAGTCTCATGAGATCTGATGGTTTTAAAAAGGGGAGTTTCCCTGCACAAGCACTCCTCTCTTTGCCTGCCACCATCAGCATAAGATGTGACTTGTTCCTCCTTGCCCTCTGCCATGATTGTGAGGCTTCTCCAGCCACGTGGGCTGCAAGCAGCTCTGCTCCTGTGACTCAGCTGCTTTCACCAGCTGGCATTAAGTGTCTGTGGCTTTTCTAGGTGTGCAGTACAAGCTGTTATTTGTTGATTCTGGGGTCTGGAAGACAGTGGCCCTCTTCTCAAAGCTTCACTAGGCAGTGTCACAGTGGGAACTCTGTGTGGGGGCTCTAACCCCACATTTCCCTTCTGCACTGTCCTAGCAGAGGTGCTCCATGAGAATCCCTCCCCTGCAGCAAACTTCTGCCTGGACATCCAAGCATTTCCATACATCCTCTGAAATCTAGGTGGAGGTTCCCAAATCTCAATTCTTGACTTCTGTGTACCCAGAGGCTTAACACCACATGGAAGTTCCCAAGGCTTGGGGCTTTTACCCTTTGGAGCCATGGCCTGAACTGTGCCTTGGCCCCTTTTAGCCACAGCTGAAGCTTCTGGAATGCTGGGCAGCAAGTCCCTAGGCTACACAGAGCAGGGGGGCCCTGAGCCAGGTCCAGGAAACCATTTTTTCTCCTATACCTCTGGGCCTGTAATGGGAGGGGCTCCTGTGAAGGTCTCTGACATGCCCTGGAGACATTTTCCCATTTTTCCCATTGTCCTGGTGATTAACATTTGGCTCCTCATTACTTATGCAAATTTGTGCATCTGGCTTGGCTTGAATTTTTCCCCCAAAATGGGGTTTTCTTTTCTATTGCATTGTTAGGCTGCAAATTTTCCAAATTTTGATGCTCTGCTTCCACTTGAATGCTTTGCCACTTAGAAATTTCTTACACAAAATACCCTAAATCATCACTCTTAAGTTCAAAGTTCCACAGACCTCTAGGACAGGGGCAAAATGCCACCAGTCTCTTTGCTAAGGCATAGCAAGAGTCACCTTTGTTTCAGTTCTTAACAAGTTCTTTATCTTCATCTGAGATAACCTTACCTTGGACTTTATAGTCCATATTACTATCAGCATTTTTTCAAAGCCATTCAACAAGTCTCCAGGAAGTTCTAAACTTTCCCACACATCTTCCTGTGTTCTGAACCCTCCAAGTCTCTAGGAAGTCCCAAACTTTCCCACAATTTTCTGTCTTTTTCTGAGCCCTCCAAACTATTCCAACCTCTGCCTGTTACCTAGTTCCAAAGTCGCTTCCACATTTTTGGGTATCTACACAGCAGCACCCCACTCTACTGGTACCAATTTACTGTATTAGTCTGTTCTCATGCTGCTAATAAAGACATACCTGAGACTGGGTAATTTATAAAGAAAAAGAGGTCTAATGACCTCACAGTTCCACATGGCTGGAGAGGCCTCACAATCTAGGTGGAAGGTGAAGGAGGAACAAAGGGTCTTACGTGGCAGCAGGCAAGAGAGCATGTGCAGGGAAACGTCCCTTCATAGAACCATCAGATCTCGTGAGATTTGTTAACTATCATAAGAATAGCATGGGAAAAACCCACCCCCAAGATTCATTTACCTCCCACAGAATCCCTCCAATAACACATGAGAATTATGATTCAAGATGAGATTTGGGCGGGGACATAGCCAAACTATATCAACCTACCATAAAAATAAAGCCCAAGACCAGTCAGATTCACAGCTGAATTCTACCAGATGTATAAAGAAGAGCTGGTACCATTCCTACTGAAACTATTCCAAAAAATTGAAGAGGAAGAATTCCTTCCCTAACTCATTCTATGAAGTCAACATCATTCTGATACCAAAACCCAGCAGAGATACAACAAAAAGAGTAAACTTCAGGCCAATACCCTTGACGAACATCAATACAAAAATCCTCAACACAATACTGGCAACCCGAATCCAGCAGCACATCAAAAAGCTTATCCACCGCGAATGATCAAGTGGGCTTCATTCCTGGGATGCAAAGCTGGTTCAACATATGCGAATCAATAAATGTGATTCATCACATAAACAGAACTAAAGACAAAAACCACATGATTATCTCAATAGATGCAGAAAAATCTTTCAACCAAAGTAAACATTCCTTCACATTAAAAACTCCTAATAAACTAGGTATTGAATTAACATACCTCAAAATAATAAAAGCTGTATATGATAAACCCACAGCCAACATCATACTGAATGGGAAAAAGCTGGAAGCATTCCCCTTGAAAACTGGCATAAGACAAGGATGCCCTTTCTCACCACTCATATTCAACATATTATTAGAAGTTCTGGCCAGGGCAATCAGGCAAGAGAAAGAAATAATGAGCATTCAAATAGAAAGAGAAAAAGTCAAACTATCCCTGTTTGCAGATGACATGATCCTGTATCTAGAAAACTCCATATTCTAGGCTGGGCAAGGTGGCTCACATCTGTAATCCCACTACTTTGGGAGGCTGAGGCGGGTGGATCACCTGAGGTCAGGAGTTCAAGACCAGCCTGGCCAACATGGTGAAACCCTGTCTCTACTAAAAATACAAAAATTAGCTGGGTGTGGTCGCATGTGCCTGTAATCCCAGCTACTCGGGAGGCTGAGGCAGGAGAATTGCTTGAACCCAGGAGGCGGAGGTTGCAGTGAGCCAAGATCACACCACTGCACTCCAGCCTGGGTGACAGAGTGAGACTCCGTCTCTGGAAAAAAAAAAAAAAAGCAAACTCCATACTCTCAGCCCAAAATTTCTTAAGCTGATAAGCACTTCAACAAAGTCTCAAGATACAAAATCAATCTGCAAAAATCACTAGCATTTCTATACACCAACAACAGTCAAGCCAAGAGCCAAATCAGGAATGAACTCCCATCCACAATTGCCACAAAAAGAACAACTAGGAATCCAGGCTAACTAGGGTCTTGAAAGATTTCCACAAGGAGAACTACAAACCACTGCTCAAATAAATCAGAGATGACACAAATGGGAAAACATTCTATATTCACAGAGAGGAAGAATCAATATTGTTAAAATGGCAATACTGCTCAAAGCAATTTATAGATTGCATGCTATTCCCATTAAACTACCATTGACATTCTTCACAGAACTAGAAAGAACTATGTTAAAATTCAAATGGAACCAAAAAAGAGCCCAAATAGCCAAGGTAATCCTAAGCCAAAAGGACAAGGCTGGAGGCATTTCACTACTGAACTTCAAGCTATACTACAGATCTACAGTAACCAAATCAACATAGCACTGGTACAAGAACAAACACATAGACCAATGGAACAGATTAGAGAACCCAGAAATAAGACCACACACCTACAACTATCTGATCTTCAACAAACTTGAATAGTTAACAATATAAATTGACATTATATGATGACAGAATCAAAACTCTTACACATAGTCCTATCAAAGAGAATAATAATGAAATAAACTTATATAAAAATAAATAAAATATCTTTTAAAAGGCCCATGAACTAAATAAATCAAAACAATAAACAAAGAAAACACAGGGTAATCTATAACAAATGCAAGAATATTTTTGAAACCTAATTAATTAAAAAGTATCTTATTCAATCATTTTTCTTCCAGATTTTATTGTAAAGATCTGTTTGACTATTTATAAGTGTAGCTGTAAAAAATAATTTGAAGATGTTCATGTCAGCATTACTTGTAAAAAGAAACCCTCCCCACAAAACCAACACAAAATACCCAGGAAAACAAAACATGGGAAAAATATAAAATTTCTAACAGAGGAATATTAAACTAATTATAGTGTTTGAACTCTGAATGAGGGTCTAGCCTGAGAATACCAACAACTATTTTACAGTGTTTTTTATGACTGAAACATTGTGCTAATTTCTTTGTATAGTAGGTAATATTTCCCCCCTATTTTGAACATGTAAACATTGAGGTTTAAATAGATTAATTTTCTCAACTATTTCTGTTGATTCCAAAACTATGCTATAATACACTCTACTATTTTTTCCTACATTATTACAGGGGGAAAATACCTGGGAGATTATATTATAAAACATTTGTTGTGGTTATATGTAGCTGTTAGGATGGTAGATGATTTGTAATTTTGCCTGTATTACATTTTTTAAATTAAAAACAAAACAAAATGTTTTAAAGGAGTACCCTCCTTTTTTCTTACCTTGCTTTGTGCTTCTTGAGAACAGGGTCTTTTATATTAGAATTTTCTTTTGTGTTACTCAGAAAGAGCTGAAAAATGGATTAAATTCATACTGTTTTTGATGAATATTTATTGCATAATATAACACTGATATCTTTATGACAACACTGGAAAATCCAACTATATACCTAAGCAAACAAAAATAGCTGATCATTATGTAGCTAGAGCCCTGGACTGATTTTTATAACTGAATGATTTGTAATGATTCCTCACTGAAAATGCAGGTGAAAATGAAATCCATTAATCAAAAAATCTTTATGACATAATCATCAATTTAATATAATGAAACATAGATTATTTTCAAAGGATAAATATAATCAATGTTTTCATTTATAAACTAGGTAATTAGATGTCATATATCAACAGTTCAAGAAATATTTATTAGGTTTATAATATGTATTAGGCCCAATGCTTTAACCAGAAGATGAAATGATGAGTAAGTAGTTGCCTTAGTCCACAGGTAGAACTGGGGTCTCAGCCAGCAACCTACATCAATCTCCAGATGTGGGTATGGGCACCTCAAAATGTTTCTACTCTACCATAGAGTGTTCCCACAGAAAACAATGCAGCACAAAAAGATGTCATTCTGGTCTATTCGGCTCAAATTCCTGACCTACAGAAACTCTAAGTAAAATAAAATGGTTGTTTTATGTCACTAATTTTTAGGTAATTCATTATGAAGCAGTTGTAACTGGAATTACATAATACTGAAAATTTAACTTTCCAAATCATTAAAAGCAACACATGCATGTGCGTGTGTGTGCACACACTCACACGGAGGACAAAAATAGAAATGATAATATACTTCTGTCAAAAAATCACAGATAGTTTGTTGTACTTAAAGTATGCCTCAATTAAAAAAAAACTAAAAATGGATGATAGAATTAAGAATATGTACTTTAAGTAGAACAAATTACTGATTAGATGAGGTATTATATCCATACGATATAATATTTAAATATTGAATATTCAAGTAATTAAAATAATAAAACTTTTTTAGATAGATATGAATAATTTCCAAAAATCACTTAAAATGAAAATTAGTGAGATTTGTGGTCTAGTATTGGTTTCAAAACAAGACAAAACAATGAAAACTAAGAATTATATGTATATACAAAGTATATCTTTGAAAATATAGACAAGTGACAATGATTTCATCCAGTAAGGGAGACAAATAAATGAGGTAAAGTAAGTGAAAGAAAGATTTACTTTTCATTGCATGCCATTTGCTACCTTGGTGTTGACATTATGTGCATTTATTTTTTTACAAAGAAAAAATAAGCTATTTGAAAAAATTCAGGTTTACTTTGAGGAGGTTATTTGGTAAATTTTATAAAAGGAAATTAATTAATGTAACAACAAAGAAGGGAATTACCTACTTAGCAAACAGTGAGTAAATTATCAATCAGAAGTGAAATTCAATATGTAACCCATTCCATTCAACTTGAT
Source organism: Homo sapiens (assembly GCF_000001405.40). Lineage (NCBI taxonomy): Eukaryota > Metazoa > Chordata > Mammalia > Primates > Hominidae > Homo > Homo sapiens. The sequence goes on along the minus strand of NC_000012.12, from coordinate 73,429,008 downwards.
TGGTTAGTCTCTTCCAATACATTCTTATTTAAATGTGCTTTCCATGAGAAAACATACAGTGGTTGCTGTGTCAAAGGACTAAGGTGAAATTTCTACTCAAAGTTACCTCTGAATTTGTTCCATTAGTGTCTTCAAACATTGAAGCTGAAAAACTTCAACCTTTCAAGAAACATCCATCTTAAAATAATTAGAATAAATGTTTAACTAATGGAAGTTTCACGGATCATATATATTTATACCCTAGAGTTCTGCACTGTTAATAGAAGTGTTTCTAAGTAACTAATGTTATACTTTATTTTATATTAACACATCATTATAGTATAAATATATCCTAATTAATTAAAAAACAAATTTTCAGGAATTTATGAATGTAAGCAAACAATAACATTAATATAAATATAATTATATCATAATGGGTTCATTTTGCTTATGTACACATTCTAAGGATTCTTTACAGTTTAGATTATCAACTTTTTTTAAATGCATTAGCTCTGAGACTTACCATTTTGGGTCATATAATATTAGATATAATATATACTTCTTTCTGCCTGTAACACACTCATCATTACAGATTTATGATGTAAAAGATAATTTAGCTGGCTTATAGTTCAACTCATACATCTAGAAAGATATTTTAAAAACATCAATAATAAGATGTCATGTAGGACATTAGTTTCAGGCACTTCATTGAATTTTTTGAATGGCAGACCAAAAAACCAAGATATCTCAAAAGTCTGAATGAATACTAATTTTATATTTACTTTGGAATTTAACAAAGCTTAAGTTGCCATTTTCTTTTATTTAGATTCATTTTTTCATTTATTGTCATATTTAGCTAAAGCCAAAATGCTAATAGATATGTTATAAAAATATAATAATTTTCTCCAGTAAAATAACAAAACCTTTCTTACAAAAACATGATTCTTTCTGCTGCTCAGTATAAAAGTAGTCCCTTTTCTGCAAGATGTTTTCTTTTAAAAGAAAGTTCTTTTTTGCTAATTGATATTTCTTACAAATTTTCCAACTATACTAATAAAATAAATATGCACTAATATGAAGGAAGATATATTAATAATTAACACTAATTAAATTATAAAGCCAAATTTGACACAATATATACTGTTTCATCTACATAGACATTGTTATCTGATTAATTCAAATCAATCTTCCTTATGAAACCTAATACTGTCTCTCTCTTCTATATAAAATGTGATCACTACTTTTATGTTTCCTTTCTTTCATTCACATACTCAAAAAATATGAAATTGTTTTCTTCTCATTCTGAAAGAGTGCCATTTCTTTCAACAAACTTCACTATCTTTTTTTCCCCACCTAGATGAAGTTTTTCTCAAACCTGATGTTATAATGACCATAGTTACATAACAACTGGTATAATTTCCTGCTACAGTATTTCGTTATAATGGTCTTTTATATTTCTGATTCATGCCTATATTAAGCTCTTCAAGAATGCACATTATTTATTTATTTTTCTTGACACATTCCATTTTTAGATCTCTGTTGTAAACTCTCAGGTAACAAAAACAAAAATAATAATAAATTCAAGATACTATACCTATGTAACGTTGCTTTTGGCAAGTATACCTATCTGCCATTCATTAGTTAGTTAAATTTTAATTTAAAATAGTAAGTCTACAAAATAACACATTAGATATAGATATATTTCTTCTATTATAAGGATATAAATAAGCACCAAAAAGACAGTTCTATTAGTAAGATAGATATGAGGAAGTAATGCTGAAACGAGCAAACTGAATGCTTTAAAATACATGGCTTTTTTTGAGGCTGACATTTTAATAATACTTCTTTGGAGTTGCATTGTCCCCATTTTCTTTGCAATTCCCATAAAGAGAGATTATTAGCCTAATTAGAGCTGTTAAATCTGAGAAGAGAAAAATGTGTGAGCAAGCTCTTTCTTTTTTCTCTCAAGGAAAATAAGTCTAATAAGTTATGAAGATCAAGTCAATAAAGTAGTTCATTGAAAAGACAATTTTAGTTCCTTAGAAACAATTTGGGTATCTAAAAACCCACGAAACTCTCAGATTTCATAAACCAATATATCACTTTGTATTTAAGAACTCCCTTTGGCTGAAGTTCTCAGAAAATTATCCCCTATTGAACTGGTCCTTAAGAATGGATGTATTTTATAGTGCTCATTACGTTCAAATATATGGGCCATAGAGAAAAGTGAACAAAATAACTTGTATTCAAACCTAAGGGTGAACATAAAATAATTACTTTCATTTTGCATTCAACCTCTACTTCCGTGCTCTAACACAGTTTACTACAAACATTATGTAATATATATAAACTTATGTGTACTGTACCAAGTTGCTTTCTCAAAATCAGCTCTAGGATGGTACCAAAAAGGAGTCAGAAATATGTTAGATACCAACAGCTCACTGGTTGCATTTTAAATTGACCAAATTTTTTATTGTTTGTACACTTCATTTGCTTGTCTTTGAATACATTAGAAATATTTTCTGAAATTAAATTCAGAAAACATATTATTTTATGCTTCCAGACCTTCCTTAAAGCCATATTTTCTCATTTCTTTTATATTTTGTTCAACACAAGTTCAATCTCCCTTTGCCTCTCTGCTATGGATTGAATGTGTACCCCCAAAATTCATATGCAAGAGTATAAATCCCCAATGTGTTGATATTTGGAGGGAGAGGACTTTGGGAGTTAATTAGGTCATGAAAGTCGAGCCCTCATTAATGGAATTGGTGCCCTTTTACAAAGAGATATCAGAGAGATGATTTCTCTCTCTCTTTCCACCATGTGAGACTACAAAAAGACAGCCATCTACAATGCAGGAAGAGTGCCCTCCCCAGAAGTGAATTGGTGGGCACCCTGACCTTAAACATTACAGCCTCCATAACTGTGAGAAATAAAAGTTTATTGTATAAATCACCCAGCTTATGGTAATTTGTTATAGTAGCTCAAGCTAAGATACTCTGAAAATATCAATATGGCCTCTAAAATCTTTGACTGAATTTTATTTTACAAATTGATAAATAGTGCTCTACTAGATTAATAAATATTAGTATAATAAGGAATGGCCTCAAACATACTGCCTAGTGAAATAAAAATAAAATTAAAATAGACAAAATAAATTTTAAAAAGAACCAAACCCAGCAATAGTGTTTAAAAAAATCAATGTCTTTAACTGGTCATTGAACATTGTTCCATTACAGTTCTTAATAATTTATACTTTTTATTAATTTATTCAAAGGTTAGGTATTTAGGGTTTAATGGGTGTCAGGTATAGTATTAAATATGCAGGGTGATATGGTTTGGCTGTGTCCTCACCCAAATCTCATCTTGAGTTGTAGCTGCCACAATTCCTACTTGTTATGGAAGGGACCCAGCTGGATATAATTGAATCATCAGAGCAGTTTCCCCATACAGTTCTCATGATAGTGAATAAGTCTCACGAGATCTGATGTTTTAATAAGGGGGAAGCCCTTTTACTTGGCTCTCATTCTCTCTTGTCCGGCACCATGAAAGACATGCCTTTCATCATCTGCCTTGATTGTGAAGCCTCTCCAGCCATGGAGCTGTGAGTCCATTAAATTTTTTTAATATATAAAATTACCCAGTTTCTGGTACGTCTTTATCAGCAGTGTGAAAATGGACTAATACAGTAAACTGGTACCAGTAGACTGGGGCGCTGCTTAAAAGATACCCAAAATTGGGAAAGTGACTGGGGAACTGGGTAACAGACAGAGGTTGGAACAGTTTGGAGGGCTCAGAAGACAGGAAAATGTACAGTTTGGAACGCCCTAGAGAATTGTTGAATGACTTTAACCAAAATGCTGATGGTATGGACAATGAACTAGGCTGAGTTGGTCTCAGATGGAGATGAGGAACTTGTTGAGAACTGGAGCAAAGGTGACTCTTGTTATGTTTCAGCAAAGAGACTAGTAGCATTTTGCCCCTGCCCTAGAGATTTGTGGAACTTTGACCTTGAGAGAGATGATTTAGGGTATCTGCAGAAGAAAATTCTAAGCAACAAAGCATTCAAGAGGTGACTTGAGTGCTGTTAAAAACATTCAGATTTATAAGGGATGCAGAGCATAAAGTTCAGAAAATTTGCAGCCTGACAATGTGATAGAAAAGAAAATCCCATTTTCTGAAGAGAAATTCAAGCCATGTGCAGATACTTGCATAAGTAATGAGGTGCCAAAAGTTAATTTCCAAGACAATAGGGAAAATGTCTCCAGAGCATGGCAGAGACCTTTGTGGCAGGCTTTTCCGTCACAGGCCCAGAGGCCTAGGAGGAAAAAATGGTTTTGTGGGCCAGACCCGGGGCTGCCTGCTGTGAGCAGCCTATGGTGTCCAGCCACTCTAACCATGGCTCAAAGGGCTCAAACCATGGTCTCAGAGGGGGCAAGCCCCAAACCTTGGCAGCTTCCACATGGTGTTGAGCCTGTGAGTGCACAGAAGTCAAAAATTGAGGTTTGGGAACCTTTGCCTATATTTCAGAGGATGTATGAAAATGTCTGAATGTCCAGGCAAAATTTGCTGCAGGGGCAGGGCCCTTATGGAGAATGTCTGCTAGGGCAGTGCAGAAGGGAAATGTGGGGTTGGAGCCCCCACACAGAGTCCCTACTGGGGCATGGCCTAGTGGAGCTGAGAGAAAAGGGCCACTGTCCTCCAGAATCCAGAATGGTAGCTTCACTGACAGCTTGCACTGTGCACCTGGAAAAGTTGTAGACACTCAATGCCAGCCCATGAAAGTGGCCAGGAGGGAGGCTGCAACCTGCCAAGCCAAAGGAGCAAAGCTGCCCAATACCATGGGAACCCACCTCTTGCATCAGCATGCCCTGGATATGAGACACAGAGTCAAAGGGGATCATTTTGCAGCCTTAAGATTTGACTGCCCCACTATATTATGGACTTGCATGGGGCCTGTAGTCCCTTCATTTTGGCCAATTTCTCCCATTTGGAGCAGGTGTATCTACCTAATGCCTGTACTACCATTGTATCTTCCAGGTAGCTAACTTGCTTTTGATTTTACAGGCTCATAGGTGGAAGAGACTTGCCTTGTCTCAGATGAGGCTTTGGACTGTGGACTTTTGCATTAATGCTGAAATGAGTTAAGACTTTGGGGGGACTGTTGGGAAGGCATGATTGGTTTTGAAATGTAAAGATACGAAATTTGGGAGGGGCCAGGGGCAAAATGATATGTCTTGTCTGTGTCCCCATCCAAATCCCAGCTTGAATTGTAGCTGCCACTATTCTCACATGTTGTGAGAGGGACCTGGTGGGAGACAATTGAATCATGGAAGGAGTTTTCCCCATAGTGTTCTCATGGTGGTAAATAAGTCTCATGAGATCTGATAGTTTTATAGAGGAAACCCCTTTCACTTGGCTCTCTTTCTCTCTTGTCTGGTGCTATGTAAGACATGTCTTTTGCCTTCTGCCTTGATTGTGAGGCCTCCCCAGCGACATAGAACTGGGAGTCCATTAAACTTTTAGTTTTGTTTTTTTTTAAATTACTCTGTCTCAGGTATGTCTTTATCAGCAGCATGAAGACTAATACACAGGGCAAATAAAGAACAAGTAGTGATATTTCTCAAGAAGCATACCATTTAGTATGTTTTATTTTTCAAGGTTTGATCATTATGAAGTCTTATAGATTAGACTTATACATAGGTAACATTCAAATTTTTTGACTAAATACTTTTTCACCACTCAAATGTCATAGTCTTTGTTTTTGTGCATGATTAATAAATAGTATATCTCACATTTAAAAAAATTCAAGTTGTAAGCTTATAAACTATGGATTCTATTTTTTACAATGCATTTCTTATTTAAAAAAACAGCCAATGGCTATTGACTTTGGATTGTGCCACATACTTATTTGATGGTTGCCTCAATACACATTTAACACATTTAATTAATTCTATTTTCATTTAGGCATTCATTCATGCCAAAGGTATATTATGTGTGTAGTTGAAAAACAATAGTATGCATGCTCAAAGAGAATAAAATTTAAGCTGTATTCTGAGTGTGGGAGCTATATTCTGAATGTGGGAAACAAATATAAAATAATTTGGTCTGAAATAAATATGCAATAATTTAGTGTGGAAATTATCAAAAAGTGCAATAGGTACTGAGAAGGTGTGTACAAGCAGTTATGAGGAAGTCAGGGCAGGTGTCAGATGATTGATACTTGGGATGACTTTTGAAAGATAACATGAGTGTATCAAGTGAATAGAGGAGTACATTCCAGGAAAAGAAAAGGACAGTAGTGAAGCATGACCTAAAGCCTTATTTGACACTGCCAGTGATTGTGTAAACACTTACTATATTTCTGCATTATATCTCTTTAAAATAGCTAGAATAGTTTCTGTTTCTTGAAGCTAAAACCTAATCTAATATTGCAGACCCTGGACAGATTCTTCATAAGTTTAGAAGTATGTTATGATCAGGAAATAACATGAAGCTAATGATAATTAGAATCCAAAGCCAGGTGTGAGGAAACAGAAGTAGGCCTTTGATATCATATAAAATCATGAACAAACATGTACACTGTGAATGTAAGCTCAGGCTTTATCTTAAACAATAAAATGTCATTGGTGCATTTAAACAATTCAGTAATATTAACTTTAAAAAATGCATTTAAGAAATAGGACCTTAATGGTAGCATTATAGATTTTCTGAAGAGAAGCAAACCTAAAAAGCTGTTATAAAGACCAGCTATCATATATATTCTGGTGGTCCAGGTGAGAGATGAGGAATGTCTCATTGATGGCGCTGATGATGGATTGTAGAGAGGAGAAGATATTTGAAACACATCAGAATTAGAGTAACTAAGACAAACAATATGAATGATGAGGGAGAGGAGTGTATCTCAGAAGAACAGTTTCACTTTCCTTTTTGGCATGGATGAGAGTGAAGATGAGTACTCATTGTCTAAGGTAGAAGAAGGCAGTCATGATTTGTTAGGAAGGAACGAGGGAGTAAAGGGTGACGTGTACATTTGGAGAAGATGATGATTTGAAGCTTGATAATGATTCAGCATTGATTCATATTTCCTCTCTTATCCATGAATCATCTCGAGGTTTTTTTTGTCTCTTCAGGAAGCTAACAATAGCTCTGTTCTTCAGAAAGAAAAGATTATTCTCGAAAACTCCAAATCCACAATAACAACTTTAATGTCCATGTTTTAGATCTTCAAATAAGGAGACACTTTCCTTGCCATCTATGTTTCACCTGCTTACCTGCATGGAACATGATGTTTACTATTTCTGCTGCACAGTTGCAAACACTATTTATACAGGGGACTCTGGGACTGGTGTCAGGTCTTACTGACATTTTTGCATTATGGCTTTCTATCCAAAAGGAAGTAAAAGTTTTGAGGGCTATTGAACAGTAAATGTTCCTCATGTACCACATTACAAAACACAGACCTAAGTTAAAGAATTTGATGTCAACTTGCTGTGAAAATGCAGTGTTCAATTGCCCAAAAAACTTCAACTTCTACACCTGTAGGAAGACATTTCTAGTGCTTGAACAATGAACTGCGCAAAACAGGCAGTAACAGATACTGGTGAAATATGTTTAAGGATATATTTGACACTGCTTTTGAGCTATGCACGTTTATCTCTTTGTTCCAATTGTCTGGACTACTTTGATTTTATGTTATCTTCAGACATATTTAAAGGAAACTATGGGATATTTCAAGGTAGAAAAATATTATAAAGAAAAAAGCCCAACAGGGTCTACTTATACGTATAACCAAGCAGCCATACATCATGTACCTATTCTATATATAACAAACAATAAAATATAACAGTGCTGTTAAATTTCCACCTTGAGCATAGGATATATTAAATTAAGAAAAGAGATACAGAGTTCAATCTTTGCTCTAACAACTCACTTATTTTGCCTAACTCTGTCAATTCATGACCTCACTTTATGGACACTTACCTTGTGTTTACAGAATCTTGGTCTGCAGTATGCCTCCACTAGTATAGAATTAAACATCAACACAAATATGCCAGATGCCCAGAACAATCTTTTAAGCACAGAGATTATCAGAGAAATAAGGTCATTTTAAAAGGGAAGATAAAACTCAATCAATGTTCAACCAAACATGAGAAAGCAATTATGGGTAGAAAGCATCATAGAAATAGGATCCTAACACAAAATAAGTTACAGGACCAGAAAGGAAAGAATCAGCTTAAAATTTGGAACCAAGAATAGGTTTAAATATGTTATTCTGATAAAATGATTATATTATTTTTCAATCTCCTTGTCATGTTGAAACTGTCTCTATGGAGAGTATGTATTATTTTGCTAAATTAGATAATTAAAGTATTATTTCATTTCAAACACATTTTGGGTAATCAGAAATGTTATTATTTAAGAGACAGATAATATAAAATCATTAGTGCCATAACCTAATAGAATTTAAGTGTGTGTGTTCTGTGTATAGGTGTGTGAAAAATATTTAGTTTTTCTAAAGAAACTGACTATTTAGACATAAAGAATGGTATGGATTGAATCGGTGTGCTCAAAATGCCTATGCTGAAGCATTAATCCCTAATGTGATTTTATCTGAAGGGTCATTTAATAATGAAGATAAATGCAGGGTTCTAATCTAATAGGACTGTGGCCTTAGAAGAACAGAAAGAGAGATTTTTTCTCTTTGTGTGTGTGTGTGTGTGTGTGTGTGTGTGTGCGTCTCTCCAATGTGAGGAGATAGCAAAAAGGCAGCAGTCTGCGAGCCAAGAGAGTCAGAGACTGAATCCTTCTGGAACCTTCATTTGAATATTCCAGCCTCCAGAAATGTAAAAAAATAAATTTTTGTTGTTTAAACCATTCAGTCTATGGTGTTTTTTATGGCAGCCTGAGCAGACTAAGACAGATATATAGGCTGTCTCTAATTTGAGGCTATTCAAAACAATGATGTCATAAACATTTTTGAACATTCCTGTGCTTTGAAGCACATATGCACACAATTCTGTCGGGTGTGTATTATATATGTTTGTGTGTGTGTGTGTGTGTGTGTGTGTGTGTATCAGAGCATATGCATGTGTTCACATTTAATATATAATACGTAGTGTTCCAAAAAGATTACAGCTCTAATTTCCCATCATCAATATATGTGTATTTCAGTTCCAGTTGATCTGCATTCTTATTAGAACTTGTTATTGTCAATCTCTTTAATTTTAGCAATTTAGGGGGCATATGTGTAGTGGTGTCACCAATGACTATTTGAGTGGAGCAATTTTTTAATGTTTAATGATTATTGGCTCTTAGGATATCATTTTACATGAAATATCTATTCAACTTTTTTTTCTATTGGATTGCCTGTCTTCTTTTAAATAGTTTGTAGCTTTTTAAATATTCTTTTAATTTTTTGACAAATAATGTCTTTCCCTAAAGATCTTCTAATATTTGTTCATCTATATTAAGGTAATGACACTTTAAATACTAGCAATTCCTGGTACTTCTTTGTGTATACAGTAATGGTATGAAAAATAGTTTGTGTGTTCATTTGAAAAACTGCAAAGGCCAATGCTACCTTTAAAATTAAGAACATTTTCTTTATTTAGCAAAATATCTAACATAAGAAATAAAGTCCTACCCCTATCCACAGTTGGAGCATCCATGAAACTTGGCGATGCATCCGAATTACTATAACAAAAGGGTACCTTTCTCCAGGACATGTTATTTCCACTTGAACTGTCATTGTTGCAGAAGACTTATCCAGTAATTCTTAGAAATTTGTTTTTTTGACATGACAGTTATCAACTCTTTGAGAGAGAGGCAAGGTCTCAAGTGGGTACTCTTTCACATATTTTATAAAGAGATGGGGGTAGGATATGTCATGTAGTTGTATTAAAAGTTATTAACATATCAGTAATATGGAACCACAAGTTGGAACTTTGGGAAGAATTTTTGCTTTTTTGAGAAAAAATTCACTTTTAGAAATAGAAAAGTGTTCATTCAGTAACAGGCTTACCTGGGTTTTAACCTATATGATTCAATCAAAGCCTTGCCATAATCATAATAGATGGTCTTGAAAATAGGGCCTATTTTTGCTGAGCTCTCACTTTGAAAGATAAGATTATGGGTAGCAAACTATGCAAAATTTTCAAAATTATATGAATTATTTCTGTAGGCTGCAATTGAGACTGACAAAGATTTTCCTGCTTCATGGAAGGCTGAAATTTACAGAAAAATTTAAACACTGCAGAATTTCTTTGAAGGAACTTTTCTGATAAACTTACAATCAATATGAATATTATTAATTATTTTCTTCCTGAAGCAACCAATAACAATGTGACACACTTTGTAAGGATGGCAAAATTGAATTGAGGACAAAGAAAATTATTCCTCCCCCTGTTACATTAAAAAAGTTTTAAAGATTGCTGGTACTGTTTGATCCAAGCCAGTCCAGTTTCTGAGAGTGGGAGCTATGAGAGAATTGATTTTCATCATAACTTACTTATGAGAATTAGAATATTTATCACTAATTACAAACAAAACAGAAAGCTGTGACAATTTGATTTTAATAATTATTATTTTTAAAGCTGAGTCAAAGATGCTATCATAATTTTAACCACAGATTCCATCCAAAATACGGAAATTCTCCTCATTTGAATTTATTTTTAACTGGGGTCAACCTTAGCTTTGTATGCCTTGAAAAATGTATATTTTTAAAGGAATTATACACTAAGTTTTTAATGAAAAGTGATAGTCTTTGTAATGATTATTTTATATTTTAAAAAACTATTTATTTACATAATGGAATCAATTTCATAAAACTTGGCATTTGTGTTTTTGTTTAAAATGTGGATGGAAAACTTTCATTACCTTGATGACATTACATTCTTAATCCTTAGAAAGAAAAGAGATAAACCTAATAAAATAGTATTTGAGATTGTAAAGTGAATAAATAACAATTTTACTTTCACACAGATGAATTTAGATTACTTATAACATCTTAAGAGACATATTATTGAACAAAGCTTTTAGCATCTATAAGACCATATTTTTAAAAAGACTACCTTATAATTAGACTCTTTGGTATTTTACTAATGGAAAAATAATGGATAGGATTTAGAAGGACTACCTGCTCCTGAATTATGCTACTAAAGCAAATAGTGTCATTCACGACAGAGTTAGGATGTTGCAACTTAAGTTTTTAACCGGGGAAAGCAGTAAGAAAAAGTTGTGTATGAACTATAACATATTTTGCAGAATCAATCATGACACAAATTAGAGTTCACATAAAGCTTATTGTGGACTCTCTTCACGGCTCTTTGCATTTTGCCTGACCTTGCTAATATTATCCTTGCTAACCTGAGAACCTACTTGTAAGTACAAATGAGCAACAAGTTTATCTCTGGCTAGAAGTTGTTAGAAAAATAAAAGTAATACACACAAAACTTGATACAGACATTTACTTTTTTCCTAATTTCCTTCCTCCCTCCCTCCCTTGCTTCCTTCCCTCCTCCTTCCTTCCTTCCTTCCTTCCTTCCTTCCTTCCTTCCTTCCTTCCTTCCTTCCATTCTTTCTGTCTTTTTTTACTTTCAGCAACAAGAGTCCTAGAACTCAGAGGTTTTGGAACATAACAACACATATATAAACCCTTCATCCCTTTTCTCACCTATCTCATCATTTCCAGAACTTGTCCCAAAGGTTCATGTCCCATGATCCCACAAGCTAATTCTGCATGAGCAAGGAAGCACATATAGAGTCCAACCAACTGCTTTGAGATTTTTTAAAATAAATATTATACACAAGCTCATAGTTATGATTCAAAATGCTCCATTTTTTCCTCAAATTCTTCCCAACCTTTGGTAGATAATAGTTAAAAACCAGTGCTAATTGGTAGATAATTCTTGAGAATTTATATCAACTCATTTTGTAATCTTCAATCATCCAACCCCTCCACCTTCTCATCCTCAACATAACTACTATCTTATCCAGCCATGAATAAAATCAGAGGCTTTCTCAATTTCAATTCTTAATGCTGGCTCTCATACATCATGTACCTTCCATATTCTACACTACTAGTGGGGCTGGCTCTGAACTCACTCAGGAATTGACCTCCTCATGCTGATGGCAGAATGCCCACACAATCTCTGATTGTCACCTAGCTCAATGATTGTCGCCAAGCTCAATGAGCCCCAAATTGTGAATGAGAATATTGTTTCACTTTTGCAGTGTTTCTTCCTCCTTTCTTACTACTTCTAATGCCTTCTTAAGAAACTAATGATGCATTAAGATTAAGACTCAAATATCACAAGCTATAACATTGGCTAAAGAATCTTGTTAGCAAAAAACAAAATAAAAATAATATTATGTTTATGTCCTGTGTTTTTTCAAAAATTAAAGGTTACAGGGGAACACAGGAAGAATCCAACAATCTAAAAACTTAGGTCTCTATTATGAGAATAACAGTATATAATTTTTCAAATTTTCTTCTATTTTTAAACTTAATTGGTGATTGTAGGATAAAAAAATGGAACAATTGTTTAGAGGTTTTCTAGAAAAATACAGTTTATATTTAGTAGATCACCGTCCTTCTCACCATGTCTCTGAAACCCTTAGAGGTTTGCAAGAAGGCTGGGAGAAAGAGGATGTCAAGAGAGCAGATCTCTGGCTTTGTTTAAACTTCCAAGGGACTTTATTTGACAAAAAGATGGTTATGTATATTAGTCAGGATTTTCCAGATAAATAGAACCAATGGGATATCATTTTCTCTTTATATACTATATATAGAGAAAAGAAAAAGCTATACAATGACGAATTGGCCCACACAGTTATGGAGCCTGAGAAGTCCCATGACCATGAGAAGTCTGCAAGCTGAAGACCTATGAGAACTGGTGGTTTCTTTAATTCTAGTCAAAAGGCTCTGAAAACAGAGAAGTCAGTGGTACGAGTCCCAGTCTGCAGGCAGAAGAAGGTGAAATGAGATAATCCAGCCCAACCAGTGAGGCAGAAAAAAAAAAGGGGCAAAATCCTTCTTTCTCAGACATTTGTTCTATTCAAGCTTTCAATGGATTAGATGATGCCCAACTACATTGGGGAGGGCAATCTGCTGCTTTACTGGGCCCGCTGAGTCAAATGCTAATCTCATCTGGAAACATCCTCACAGAAAGACCCAGAAACTGTTTAATCTGGGTACCTCATGGTCCACTAAAGTTGACATATAAGATTAACCATTACATAATGCTAGTTTAGCAGTAATAGAAATATTTGGTATGACCTTTGGATTCGAAGAAAGTGACTAACCTGGCAGGCATACACCATTATTTTGTCATTATTAGCAAATGCAAAGCATCCAAAGTACCACATCTTAGACAAAATGCAGAGCAAACATGAAAAGCCATCCTTTTTAAAAGGTAAATTATATGTGCTTTGCAAATACTCAGTGCTCCAACACCAGTTGCATATTTGTCTGTGTCCTCTGAGAGGCAAATACCAAGATTAAATTAAATGTGCAAGGACTTTGTTAGGGGAGATATCTATGAAAATAAATATGTGAAGAAAGCCAGAAAAGGCTGTGATAGTCATCAGACCATGGAAATGAGACCCATGTGATAGAGAGAGGGAAAGAAGATTGAGTGGAGGCATCCCACATAACCAAGCAGGAAGTTTCAGCAAGATTTGTCAGGTAGTCATTAATCCAACAGCTTCCAGAGTTCTATTTCTCCCAGAGAAGGGCTTGTCTTAGTATACCTGTTATGTTTAGATATCACCTGGGAACACTGTGTGAAGTGTGGCCTCAGCACAAATGTGATAGATTGGAGAGCATAGCAGTTATGACTCTTCATCAATTAAGCTATTGTTGGAGGTCTGCAAGGCACATTCTCACAGTTTTAGATGTCATGCTATAAAATTTGTCATTCATGCATGAAAAGTAATGAACAGTACAGTATGGTTCTTTTGTTTACATGGAGCTCAAAAAGGGCCTAGAGGGGCAAAGGGTTGGGAGTGGCGGGAGACGGAGAAGACATTAATTATATTAATTACAGACTTTGCAGATGAAGGAAGTATTGAGCAGTAAAAAGAGAAAAGTCTTTTCAGAAATGTAGAAAACTATGTCAGTGAAATGCAAGGGGTGGTGTAAGACAAGATCCGACTGATATCCAGGGACTTGTTATACAGATCTAGCCTAAGATGAAGATTAAAGATATTCTTTATTATCCAAAAGACAATGGGAAGCTTCTCTTTATATTTTAAATAATGAGACATAATCATATTTGTATTTTAGATATCATTGAATCTACTGCATACAGAATGGATTGAAAACCAAGAAGAGTAGATTAAAAAAACACTAGTTAAGAGGTAATTTAATTTGCCAAAAAGAGATGTATTATTGCAACTTCTGCCTCCTCCATGGTTGTATTTTATGATGTACCTTTGTGAGTTATTTTTATTTATAAACTTTTGTTGCAATATATTTTAGGAATATTTCTTTCAAATGATAGTTATTTTTCATGTTTTAGTCAATACAAGCGGCTTTAGATTTGCAGGATTTTTTCTCTTATGCTTTTTTTCAACTCTCTGCCCTTCTTTGTATATGTTTTTGTTGTCTTTTGCTATATATTTATTACTTTTATTTTCTGTGTATATGTCACTTTCTTATTTGCATTTCTCATACTTTGTGTTGAAAATGAAGTATTTTAAATTATATAATGTGGCACTTCTCAAAATTAGACTGTCATCTCTTCCCAGGATTTGTTGTTGTTTGTTTGGTGGCTTTTGTAAACTAATTCTGCATTTTGTGTTTGTCTGTTTTTAATTTTTTGTTAACCAAAGTCTCTGTTCCGTTAGTGTATTGGTCAGCAAAAAATTAAATGTCTGAACCCAATAAGCCTCTCAGTTCTAGTGTAAGAACACTGTTTGTGTGTTGAGGCTAAGTCAGCTGGGAAGTTGGCAACTCTGCCTTAGTCTTCACTTCCTGCTTAAAGATCCTCAGATTTAGCTAAAGGTGGGAGCTTTGTTCCTTCTCAGGTTTTCCTGAGCATGTGCTAAGCACTGTATATGTGCACAGCCTTACACAGGTATTCCAGATTCATAAGGATATTCAGGAGTTTTTGAAAGTACCTATGGCTGTGGTCTGAGTGAATGATATATTGGCCCCAAAATATACTGTATTAAATCAATTCCTCTTCTCTAAGAAAAAAGCAAAGGGAAAAAAAGGAAAAACAAACAGAAAAACTCCTATGAGGATTTCATTTCTCAACTTAAAAATGAAAACAAAAAAGTTTTATTATTGTTTGCCCCAAATGTTATCCACTGACTTAGGCAGCCACAAAGTTCAACAATTGCCTCTAATTGTTTTGGACAAACTCCCTCAGCTAAAAAGCTCCTTCCACTGGATAAGCTTAGATTTCAGTCAAATAAACATAAGTGTGGTTTTCAAGGGAACCGTCAGACAGATGAAATGCTGACAATTTTCTGGGAATGTGACATTTAAGGAGCTGCAATCACATTCTGTCCCCTCTGGTGGCTTCTGAGGTTTTGGTTTTCAGGGCTACCATGGAGCTGGGAAAAAATGCAAATTAAAATACTACAGACCTCACTCTTGTTAATAATATTAAGCTATTTTTCATAAATAAATACTTGCTGGATTGCTGCACGAGTTTGACAGGTTTCCAGAGTTCTAAAAAAGGTTATTCTGGTTATTTTCTCACTTTTCTCATTGCTTTTATGTAGGTGAAGAATTTTGAAATTATGTATTCCACTTTTTGCTGATGTCACCTTTTCTTGTTATATAGATTACATTTGATCTTATTTTTGATGTGTAAATTTGTGTGAACGTGTATATGCATATATAATATTTCTGTTCTTATTTCTACTTATATTACTGTATTAGTTTCTCATTGCTGCAGTACAAATTTCCACAAACTTATTTGATGTAAAAACAAATCTATTCTCTTACAGGTCTGGATATCAGACTTCTAACAGCATTTTTTTGGCAGGGCTGCATATCTTCTGGAAGATTCCACAGAACAGTTGTTACTTTTCCTTTCCCAACTTCTAGAAACCACCTGTATCACCTGTATTCCTTGGCCAAAGATTTCCTTCCTCCATCTCCAAAGCAAGCAATGACTGAGCAAATCTTTCTCACACTGCATCGCTTTGACACTATTATAGTAAAATCTCCCTCTGCCTCTCTCCAATAAAGACAATTGTGATTAAGTAGGACTTACTGAAAACATTCAGGGTAATCACTCTCTTTAAGATTGTTAACTTACCATTATGTAATGGCCTTCTTTGTCTCTTTTAATCTTTTTGGTTTAAAGTCTGTATTATCAGAGACTAGGATTGCAACCCCTGCTTTTTTTTGCTTTCCATTTGCTTGTTAGATCATCCTGCATCCCTTTATTTTGAGCCTATGTGAGTCTTTGTATGTGAGAATCAAATAGACAAAATAAAAAATGATAAAGGGGATGTCACCACTGATCCCACAGACATACAAACTACCATCAGTGAATACTATAAACACCTCTATGCAAATAAACTAGAAAATCTAGTAGAAATGGATAATTTCCTGTACATATACACCCTCCTAAGACTAAATCAGGAAGAAGTTGAATCTCTGAATAGACCAATAACCGACTCTGAAATTGAGGCAATAATTAATAGCCTACCAACCAAAAAAAGTCCAGGACCAGACGGATTTAGAGCCAAATTCTACCAGAGGTACAAAGAGGAGCTGGTACCATTCCTTCTGAAACTATTCCAATCAATAGAAAAAGAGGGAATCCTCCCTAACTCATCTTGTGAGGTCAACATCATCCTGATACCAAAGCCTGGCAGAGACACAACAAGAAAAAGATAATTTTAGACCAATATCCATGGTGAACATCGATGTGAAAATCATCAATAAAATACTGGCAAACTGAGTCCAGCAGCACATCAAAAAGGTTATCCACCATGATCACGTGGGCTTGATCCCCAGGATGCAAGGCTGGTTCAACCTATACAAATCAATAAATGTAATACATCACATAAACAGAACCAACGAAAAAACCACATGATTATCTCAATAGATGCAGAAAAGACCTTCAACAAAATTCAACAGCGCTTCATGCTAAAAACTCTCAATAAACTATGTACTGTTGGAATGTATCTCAAAATAATAAGAGATATTTATGACAAACCCACAGCCAACATCATACTGAATAGGCAAAAACTGGAAGCATTCCCTTTGAAAACTGGCACAAGAAAAGCATGCCCTCTCTCACCACTGCTATTTAACATAGAGTTGGAAGTTCTGGCCAGGGCAATCAGTTAAGAAAGAGAAAGAAATAAAGGGTATTCAATTAGGAAATGAGGAAGTTACATGGTCCCTGTTTGCAGAAGACATGATTGTATATTTAGAAAACTCCAGGGTCTCAGCCCCAAATCTCCTTAAGCTGATAGGCAACTTCAGCAAAGTCTCAGGATACAAAATCAATGTGCAAAAATCACAAGAATTCCTATACACCATTAACAGACAAACAGCCAAATCATGAGTGAACTCCCATTTACAATTGCTACAAAGAGAATAAAATACTTAGGAATCCAACTTTCAAGGGATGTGAAGGACCTCTTCAAGGAGAATTACAAACCACTGCTCAACAAAATAAAAGAGGACACAAACAAATGGAAGAATATTCCATGCTTATGGATAGGAAGAATCAATATTGTGAAAATGGCCATACTAACCAAAGTAATTTATAGATTCAATGCCATCCCCATCAAGCTACCAATGACTTTCTTCACAAAATTGGAAAAAACTACTTTAAAGTTCATATGGAACCAAAAAAGAGGCTGCATTGCCAAGACAATCCTAAGCAAAAATAACAAAGTTGGAGGCATCATGCTACCTGACTTCAAACTATACTAAAAGGCTACAGTAACCAAACAGCATGGTACTGGTACCAAAACAGATATATAGACCAATGGAACAGAACAGAGGCCTCAGAACTAACACCACACATCTACAACCATCTGATCTTTGACAAAAACAAGCAATGGGGAAAGGATTCCCTATTTAATAAATGGTGCTGGGAAAACTGGGTAGCCATGTGTAGAAAGCTGAAACTGGATCCCTTCCTTACACCTTATACAAAATTTAGTTCAAGATAAATCAAAGACTTCAGTGTTAGACCTAAAACCATAAAAACCCTAGAAGAAAACCTAGGCAATACCATTCAGGACATAGGCATGGGCAAGTACTTCATGATTAAAACACCAAAAGCAATGGCAACAAAAGCCAAAATAGACAAATGGGATCTAATTAAACTAAAGAGCTTCTGCATGGCAAAAGAAACTACCATCAGAGTGAACAGGCAACCTACAGAATGGGAGAAAATTTTTGTAATCTACCCATCTGACAAAGGGCTAATATCCAGAATCTACAAAGAATGCAAACAAATTTCCAAAAAAAAGCAAACAACCCCATCAAAAAGTGGGCAAAGGATATGAACAGACACTTCTCAAAAGAAGACATCTATGCAGCCAACAGACACATGAAAAAATGCTCATCATCACTGGTCATCAGAGAAATGCAAATCAAAACCACAATGAGATACCATCTCACACCAGTTAGAATGGCGATCATTAAAAAGTCAGGAAACAACAGGTGCGGGAGAAGATGTGGAGAAATAGGAACACTTTTACACTGTTGGTGGGAGTGTAAATTACTTCAAACCTTGTGGAATACAGTGTGGTGATTCCTTAAGGTTCTAGAACTAGAAATACCATTTGACTCAGCAATCCCATTACTGGGTATATACCCAAAGGATTATAAATCATTCTACTATAAAGACACATGCACACATATGTTTACTGCAGCACTATTCACAATAGCAAAGACTTGGAACCAACTCAAATGTCCATCAATGATAGACTGGATTAAGAAAATGTGGCACGTATACACCATGGAATACTATGCAGACATAAAAAAAGATGAGTTCATGTCCTTTGCAGGGACATGGATGAAGCTGGAAACCATCATTCTCAGCAAACTATCACAAGGACCGAAAACCCAACACCGTATGTTCTCACTCATATGTGGGAATTGAACAATGAGATCACTTGGACACAGGGTGGGGAACATCACACACCGGGGCCTTTTGGGGGGTGAAGGGCTGGGGGAGGGATAGCATTAGGAGAAATACCTAATGTAAATGATGAGTTGATGGATGCAGCAAACCAACATGGCCCATGTATACCTATGTATCAAACCTGCACGTTGTGCACATGTACCCTAGAACTTAAAGTATAATAAACAGAAAAGATTATTAACTTAATCACATTTGAAAAGTTTATTTTACTGTGTCAGCTAACATATTCATTCATAGGTTCTGGAGATTAGAACACAGACATCTTGAAGAGACCATTATTCAGCCCACCACAGTTGCCTTTATGATTTTAGAATTATTTTATTCTTCTAGTAGGACAAGGCCATATGAGTTCTTTCAAATTAAGATTAGGAATTTGATATATAATTTTACTATTTCTTGACACCTCACACTGACCTTTCTCTCCCACAAATAGCTTAAGCTTTGAAAATACTTAGCCCCAAAGTTATGCTTAAATGATTGATTTTATATTATATATCTTCTCTTTCAATAATAGTTGGTTGTTATATTAAAGACATTGTATATACATGGAACAACAGTCAAACAATACAGCTCCTGTAATCCCAACAATTTGGGAGGCCAAGGTGGGTAGATTACTTGAGGTCAGGGCTTCAAGATCAGCCTGGCCCACATGGTGAAACCCCATCTCTATTAAAAAAAAAAAAAAATTAGCCAGGCATGATGGCACACAACTGTAGTCCCAGATAGTTGGGAGGCTGAGGCATGAGAATCGCTTGAACCTGGGAGGCAGAGGTTGCCGTAAGCCGAGATCATACCAGTGCACTGCAGCCTGGGCAACTCTGTCTCACAAAACAAACAAACAAACAAACAAAAAAACAAAATAGCTGCATAGCTGCATCTGCACCCAGAATAAAAGGTAGAAGCATTTCTACCACTCCCACAGCCAAAAATCTCAGGATTTATATCTTACACCATTTTGTTTTTAGCTCTTTTAGTGACTTTCACTGTAAATTTAAATAATGTGTTGACATATTTATTAATTTAAACCAATATTTATTGTGCCTTTCTGATAAAAATTAAAAAAAAATTGATACACATGGCCTTTCTTCTTCTCTTCTCCCTCCTCTTTTTATTTTTTGGACAATCTTTTTTTTTTTTCTTTTAGATTTAGGGAGTACATATGCAGCTTTGTTACCTGGGAATATTTTGTGATGCTGTGGTTTGGGCTTCTAATCATCTTATCAACCAAGTAGTGATCATAGTAGCTGGTAGGTAGTTTTACAACCCTTGCCTGTCTTTCTCCTTGCCCCTTTTTTAATCCCCAGTGTTTATTGTTCCTATCTTTGTATTCATTTGTAACCAATGTTTAGTTTCCACTTATAAGTGAGAACGTGTTGGATTTGATTTTCTGTTTCTGCATTTATTCACTCAGGATAAAGGCCTCCAGCTGCATTCATGTTGCTGCAAAGGACATTATTTTATTCATTTTTATGGCTGAATATTATTCCGTGGTGTATAGGTACCACACTTTCTTTATCCAGTCCACTACTGATGGCACCTAGGTTGATTCCCCGTTTTTGCTATTGTGAATAGTGCTTCAATAAACTTGTGAGTTTTGGTGTCTCTTGGTAGAATGGTTTATTTTCCTTTTAGTATATACTCAGTAATGGGATTCCTGGTCAATTGATACTTCTATTTTTAGTTTTCCAGAAATCTCCAAACTGTTCTCCACAGAGGTTGAACTAATATGTATTCCCACCAACAGTGTGTAAGGATTCCCTTTTCTCCACAACCTAGCCAACATATGTAATGTTTTGACTGTTTAATAACAGCCATTCTGATTAGTGTGAGATGATACCTCATTGTGGTTTTGACTTGCATTTCTCTGATTAGTAACATGACCCATTTTTTTATATGTTTGTTTGCTGCATATATGTCTTCTTTTGAGACATGTCTGTTCACGTCCTTTGCCAATTTTTAAATTGGGTTTCTTGCTTTTTGCTTGTTGAATTAAGTTCCTTATAGATTCTGGGTATCAGACCTTTGTCAGATGCATAGTTTGCAAATATTTTCCTCCATTCTGTAGGTTGTCTGTTTATTCTACTGATAGTTTATTTTACTGTGCAGAAGTTCTTTAATTAGGTCCTACTTGTCAATTTTTGTTTTTGTTGCAATTGCTTTAGAAGACATAAATTATTTGCCTAGGCCAATGTCTAGAAGGGTATTTCCTCAGTTTTCTTCTAGGATTTTTATACTTTGAGGTCTTATATTTAAGTCTTAGAACTATCTTATGTTAATTTTTGTTTAAGGTGAGAGGTAGGGAACCAGTTTAATTATTCTGCCCACGACTAGCCAGTTTTCTCAGCACTATTTACTTAATAAATAGAGTATCATTTTGCCATTGTTTATTTTTGTCAACTTTGTCAAAGATCAGTAATTTTAGGTATATGGCTTTATTTCTGGGTTCTCTATTCTGTTCCATTGTTCTATGTGTTTATTTTTGTACCAGTACTATGCTATTTTGGTTACTGTAGCCTTGTAGTGTAGTTTGAAGTTGGGTAAAATGATGCCTTTGGCTTTATTCTTTTTGCCTAAGATTGCCTTGGCTATTTGGGCTCTTTTTGGTTCTATATGAATTTTAGAATAGTTGTTTCTAATTCTGTAAAAAATAATGTTGGTGATTTGATAGGAATAGTGCTGAATCTGTAGATAGCTTTGAGCAGTATGGACATATTAACAATATTGATTCTTTAAGTCTATGATCATGGAATGCTTTTCCATTTGTGTCATCTATGTTTTCTTTCAGCAGTGTTTTGTAGTTCTCCTTGTAGAGATTTTTCACTTCTTTGGTTAGATGTATTCCTAGGTATTGTATTTTATTTTTGTGACTGTTGTCAACAGGATCAAATTTTCTAATTTGGTTCACAGCTTGAATGTTATTGATGTATAGAAATACTACTGATTTTTGTACATTGATTTTGTATCCTAGGCTTTGCTGAAGTTGTTTATCAGATCTGCATTTCTGCTCTCAACTTTTCTTTTTATTTGTAATTATCATTTATAATTTTAAAAATTCATTTAGAATTTTAATACTTAGCTTTATTATTTGATGAACTATTTGTTTTAGATTAGATTTAAAATTATAGGAAAATTGAGAACACAGCATAGATAGTTTTCATATATCCCACATCAAGTGTCACTAATATTAACATCTTACGTTAGTATGGTAGATGTGTTATGAACTAATATTGAACTAATATTGATATATGATTATTTACTGAAGCCCCTTTTTTATTTACGTTCTCTTTGTTTTTGCCTAATGTCCTTTTCTTTCCAGGATTCAATCTAGAACAATCCTTGTTTTGTTTTCTTTGGTTCCTCTTCCTCTTGGCAGTGAGAATTTCTCATACTTTATTTTTCCTTTATTTAGGACCTTAACAATTTTGAGGAGTACTGGTCTGGTATTGTAAAGAAAGTCAATCTATTGGGTTTGGGGACTATATTTCTTAAAATTAGAATAAGGTTATGGATTACTAGGGAAAAAAAACACAGAGCTAAAGTATCCTTGTCATCATCGCACCATAGCAAGGGTACACACAAACAACAGGGTTTATCACTAATTATATTAACCTTGATCACCTGGCTGAGATAGTGTTTGCAAGTGCCTCAACTACAAGTTACCTTTTTTCTCCTCATCATATTCTGCTCTTTAGAAAGAAGTTATAATGTAAAATCTTCATTTAAGGACTGATCTTTTATCCCTCAATTCCTTCAGGAGAGAGTACCATATACACTTTTTGGAACTTTTCTTCATAGAAATTTTGTCTAATTTCTCATTGATTTATTTATTCATTTACTTATTTAAATTAGTTATTGAACTGAGATTTTATTTTCTAGTTTATGTACTTAATGCTAGAAGTTTCCCTGTAAGCTCTGTTTCTGTTGTAGCCACACATTCTGATATATTATATTTTCATATTAAGTTAGTTCAAAATATTTTTGAATTTCTCTTGACACTTTTTCTTTGAACATCTGTTACTTAAAACTGTGTAGTTTAATTTCAAATATTTTGGGATATTTCCCAGCTCAATTCCTTTATTGACTTCTAGTTTAATTCTATTTTGATCTGAGGACATACATGGTATAATTTAAATACTTTAAAATATGTTAAGGTACATTTTATGACCCAAAATTTGGTTTATCTTAGTAATTGATTCCTGCAAGTTTGAGAAAAATGTGTATTCTCCAGTGTGGCCTGAACTGTTCTATGAATGTCAGAAAGATCAGATTGATTAATAGGGGTGTTCAAGCAATATGTATTCTTACAGTTGTTCTGCTGCTCTACCTACCAGTTACTAACAGAAAAGCATTAAAGTCTAACTATAATAGTAGTTTTTATTTATTTCTCCTTTCAGTTCAGTTTTTGCCTCATGTATTTGAGGCAAAACTATGATCTGCTGGTAGGCACATATACATTGAAGATTGTTTTGTCTTCCTGAAGAATTGATTTCTTTATTTTTGTGTAATGCATCTCTCGTAATCTTCCTTATTCTGAGCTTAGCTTTATTTGAAACTAAAACAGTTACCACAGATTTCTTTTGAATACTGTTAGCCTTATATAATAATATTACTTTCTTCATCTCTTTAGTGTTTTTAACTGAATGACCTTTTTTTTTGTTTTTCACCAGTGGCTGTATCATTACCGAAAAGCCTTACATGTTAACTAATTTTCAAAACTAATTTGACAAAGATATTTCTTATACAAAATAATCAATCATCTCCATTTATTCCTTCTTTAGTTCTTTTCCTTTATATACATACAAGTTTTGGACCTACATACATTATCCTATCACTGAAGAAGTCTTTCAACATTTCTTGCAGAGCAGATCTACTGGCAATACATTTCCTTAGGATTTTTTATTTATTTTTTGTTTGAGAAAAATCTTTAGTTTATTCTTCACTTTTGAAAGATAATTTTGCTGGGTGTGAAATTCTAGTTTCATATGTTTTTTCCCTGACCACATTGATTGTTTTGCTTCAGTGTCTTCCCGTTTGCATGTTTTCTGAAAAGAAGACCATCATATAATAATTCGTATCTTTATTCTTAAATTAGTAAGTGTCCCTATTCCCACTTCATTGGTCTGTCTTCTTTCAAGATTTTCTTTTTCTGTGTTTACTTTTTCAATGTTTGAATATTACATTTCCAGGTGTAGTTTTTGTTGATGTTTGCTTTTTTTTTTTTTCTATCTACCTGTTTGTTTTTCACAGAGCTTTCTTGATCTGTGGTTTTGTGTCTGCCACTAATTTGGCAAAGTTCTTGGCCATTATTATTTTAAATAAATCCTCTGTTTTGCTATCTCTTCTCCTTCTGGCACTGCAACATGCATATATTTTACTTTTTGATATTGTCCCATAGTTCTTGGATGCTGTTTTTAAAAATTATTATTGTTTTCTGTTTGAATTTCATTTGGAGAGATTTCCATTGACCTATCTTTTCAAGCCACTGATTATTACCTTGACTGGGTTCAGCTTATTTCACAGAATTTTCATCTGTCCGTATACATTACCCAAATATTCTGGAAAGTTGACTACTCTTTCCATTGAAATTCTTACCATATTAATCAGGGTCATTTTAAATTCCCTGTCCACTAATGCAAGAATTTATGTTCTGTCTCAATTTCATAGCTTCAGACTGTTTTTTATTGGCTTTTAGCATGCCTTATAATTGTTTTTGTTAAAATTTATACATTTTGTATCAGATAATAGGAATTAGTGTGAGATATTACATGAAACTAGATAGAAATTCAGTTGTGTTTAATTTTTACTATAGCCAGATGATTCTAGTTTTTTTGTTTGTTTTGTTTTTATATTTCCCAATGACTTTTGTATTCTTTAAATATTTTTTTCTCAGGGAGAGGCTGTATCTTACAGTCCTTCTGGCAATAATCAACTGTTAGTACACTGGAGTCTTCTTGGGCTTTAAAATGTGGAGCAAGGTGTGCGTTCTATAATCCCCTGATTAAATTTCAGTGTTTTAGTGGGCCTAGTCCCAGGACTGTGGTATTCAGAAGTGTTTCTCTAGTGGACTTCTGCCCTCTACTCCCATTTGTGTCTTCAGTGTTCTCAGTTGACTTCCCTGACCTGAGTCCTGTGGACTACATTTTTCATGCTTTGGTGAGAGAAAAACCTTGAGCAGACTTGATTGGAAGGAATTCCCCTTTCACAGCTGGGACAAGACACTGGCAAAGTGTTGTTACCTAGAGAATAAGATTTGGTCATGGAGAAGATTGCAGCGGCATTTTATAATGATTATTCTCCCCTTTTCTCCTGCCATAGCCACCTTAGCTAGGCTCTATGAATCTGGTGGGATTGCTGGAATTTAAGCCTAGCAAAGTGAAAGTGTGGGGCCCACATAAGATTGTGAACCACTAGAACTTTCTCACTGTCAGGCTAGTTCACTGTTGGCCTCCAGGAATTCATCAAAATTACCATTTAAGTGTTCTTACCAGTTTATGGCTTATGTGACTTCTTTTCTGTCTAAGCAGATACCAACTTTGTCTCTCTGTATACATTTATTTGTTCAGATTTCAGGACAGTGATTTGCCCTGTGACCTTAGTTTTCTGTGGGATACAACGAAATAACTGAGTTTTATTTTGCCCAGATTTTTCTTAAGTTAGGGAGTGATTCTTCTATCAGTAAGCTTAACCCTCCATTTTTTAAATATAAAATTAAACAATTCATATTGACTTCATATTATACAAAATTAGGCAATCTTTAGTCTTACATTTATCATTCTCTTACTATCTACTTTGCCTTCCAACTTGTGCCAGTGATATTATTGCTTTGTTTTACATATATCTATATGTGTGTATATATATATGTATATACGTATATATATATGTGTATATGTATGTATATATTCTGTATCCAATTAAGGTACATTCAAGTACATGAGGAATATTTTCAGTCAGTCATGTTCTGTGTATCAGGGTCTTAGCAGGAAAAAGCTAAAACATTCAAATTTGGATAATTAGAGGAGGGTTCATTTGCAATATATATATATAATAGATATAATATGCTATATAGTGCTATAGTAGAGCATTTAATTTCTGCTCTGTAATGGTACTACTTTTTTTGTATCCATAGGTTAATTCTAAACAAGATGGTATTTGTAATATTATGCTTATGCAATTATTATTAAGTGCAGAATCAAGTAGCAAAGTTGACCTATAGAGAAATACTACATTACGGTTATGTGTTACTAAATTTATTTCACTTGAGACAGAATGTTAACGTGTCAAGATTGAAAGGATTCTATTGCTTATGCTCAATCAATTTCTTAATACTTTATATATTATATTTTAGTTTGCTTCATATTTAAACATTATTGTACAAAATATAATTTTACCTAAACTTATGTCTTTCTCTTTATTCTTGCTTTCTTACAATGTTACCAAAATTATGAATTTTCTTAAATTACTTATTAAATAATAAATTGACAGATTAAATCTACTCTGTATCTTCCATAATGAGTTTAATTCCACTGTCTCTTGAATTCAGTGTCTTATTTTATCTCTATTTTTTCATGTTTCTCCAAGTACAAATATCACAGTTATATGAGGTAAACTTTCTGAGACACAATATGCCAAATATATTTAGTCTGTCTCTCCAGAGTCCGTCTCTGCTCTTTTTAAACCTGCTTTCTATCCGCAAGGAACTAGCCTGTGTGAATTGCATCCAAAGTCTGCACATCATCTAGCTTTCTTCTGGGTTCAGTCCATAAGAAGTTCTGACAGGAGATTAGAAGAAGAGAGAAAAGGTTAGAGTATTTCATCCCTGGTTCCCTCCCTGCAAGGGCTTCCCACCGTGGACTGGATATTTACTTTGACCAAAGGTCAGATTGAGTGATTTATCTACATATCTCTCTTTCAATGTTCCACTAACTATCCTCTTCTGTTACTAGTCAGAGTTCTCCAGAGAAACAGAACCAACATGATATATATATAAATATAGGTGTGTGTATATATACGGGGGTACAATTTGTTATGAAAACTGGCTTACGTGACTTTGGAGGCCAAGAAGTTCCACCATCTGCCATTTGCAACTTGGAAAACCCAGAAAGCTAGTGGTATCCTTCAGTCTGAGGTTGAAGGCATGAAAACCTGGGAGGGAAGCAGGGTGGTGCTGGTGGGGTCCAGAGGCTGAAGGCCCTCAAACCAGGATGGCAGGAGAAGATAGGTGTCTCAGCTCCCCAGCTCAAGACAGCAGAGAGACAGAGAATTTACCCTTCCTCCACATTTTTGTTCTCTTTGGACCCTCTGGGGATTGGATGAAACCTGCCCACACGGGTGAGGGTAGCTATTCTTTGCTCAGTCTACTACTGATTCATACACTATTCTGTTCCTGAAACACTCTCACAGACACATCCAGAAATGTTTGCCCAGCTATCTAGGCATCCTTTAGTCCACTCAAGTTGACAAATACAATTAATCACCCACCCTCCTTTGCAAATGAACCCTCCTCTAATTATCCAAATTTGAGTGTTCCAGCTTTTTCCTGCTATGACTCTGATACTCAGAACATGAATGAAAATATTCCTTATGTACTTGTATGTACATTAATTGGGCACAGAATTCTAATTTCAAAACCATTTTCAAATCAAAAGCACTAAAAAATTACACTATGGAGCTTAAATATTCTTTGTTTTTACAGAGGAACCTGGAATGGGCCTGCTTCTCATCAATTGGTAATAAAGCATACTTCTGAATAATTTCAGGTGTTTTCTTTATCTTTGATATTTGGACATTAAACAAGGAAAAATCAAAGCAGGAAGTCTTTGTCACTGATTCTCTTCAACCCTTGATAAGGTCTTCCCCACTGGCAAATAATAGGTTTCTCACCTCTAAGAAATACCGTTCTTAAAGTCCTTTGATTGGTCCCCTCCCCTGACACACACATACACAAGCACTCTCTATTTTATTTCTCTAGGACTCATTTGATAAATGTTGGTACCCCTGGATTGCTAATCTAGATTACTTAACATCTCCTTAGTATTTCATGTTTCTTGTCTTTTCAGGTTCAACTTTTTTTTTTTATTATACTTTAAGTTTTAGGGTACATGTGCACATTGTGCAGGTTAGTTACATATGTATACATGTGCCATGCTGGTGCGCTGCACCCACTAACTCGTCATCTAGCATTAGGTATATCTCCCAATGCTATCCCTCCCCCCTCCCCCCACCCCACCACAGTCCCCAGAGTGTGATATTCCCCTTCCTGTGTCCATGTGATCTCATTGTTCAATTCCCACCTATGAGTGAGAATATGCGGTGTTTGGTTTTTTGTTCTTGCAATCGTTTACTGAGAATGATGATTTCCAATTTCATCCATGTCCCTACAAAGGACATGAACTCATCATTTTTTATGGCTGCATAGTATTCCATGGTGTATATGTGCCACAT
Organism: Homo sapiens; assembly: GCF_000001405.40. Taxonomy (NCBI): domain Eukaryota; kingdom Metazoa; phylum Chordata; class Mammalia; order Primates; family Hominidae; genus Homo; species Homo sapiens. The sequence continues at coordinate 73,400,452 of NC_000012.12, read as the reverse complement.
TTTCTTAATCCAGTCTATCATTGTTGGACATTTGGGTTGGTTCCAAGTCTTTGCTATTGTGAATAATGCCGCAACAAACATACGTGTGCATGTGTCTTTATAGCAGCATGATTTATAGTCCTTTGGGTATATACCCAGTAATGGGATGGCTGGGTCAAATGGTATTTCTAGTTCTAGATCCCTGAGGAATCGCCACACTGACTTCCACAATGGTTGAACTAGTTTACAGTCCCACCAACAGTGTAAAAGTGTTCCTATTTCTCCACATCCTCTCCAGCACCTGTTGTTTCCTGACTTTTTAATGATTGCCATTCTAACTGGTGTGAGATGGTATCTCATTGTGGTTTTGATTTGCATTTCTCTGATGGCCAGTGATAATGAGCATTTTTTCATGTGTTTTTTGGCTGCATAAATGTCTTCTTTTGAGAAGTGTCTGTTCATGTCCTTCGACCACTTTTTGATGGGGTTATTTGTTTTTTTCTTGTAAATTTGTTTGAGTTCATTGTAGATTTTGGATATTAGCCCTTTGTCAGATGAGTAGGTTGCGAAAATTTCTCCCATTTTGTAGGTTGCCTGTTCACTCTGATGGTAGTTTCTTTTGCTGTGCAGAAGCTCTTTAGTTTAATGAGATCCCATTTGTCAATTTTGTCTTTTGTTGCCATTGCTTTTGGTGTTTTGGACATGAAGTCCTTGCCCATGCCTATGTCCTGAATGGTAATGCCTAGGTTTTCTTCTAGGATTTTTATGGTTTTAGGTCTAATGTTTAAGTCTTTAATCCATCTTGAATTGATTTTTGTATAAAGTGTAAGGAAGGGATCCAGTTTCAGCTTTCTACATATGGCTAGCCAGTTTTCCCAGCACCATTTATTAAATAGGGAATCCTTTCCCCATTGCTTGTTTTTCTCAGGTTTCTCAAACATCAGATAGTTGTAGATATGCGGCATTATTTCTGAGGGCTCTGTTCTGTTCCATTGATCTATATCTCTGTTTTGGTACCAGTACCATGCTGTTTTGGTTACTGTAGCCTTGTAGTATAGTTTGAAGTCAGGTAGTGTGATGCCTCCAGCTTTGTTCTTTTGGCTTAGGATTGCCTTGGCGATGCGGGCTCTTTTTTGGTTCCATATGAACTTGAAAGTAGTTTTTTCCAATTCTGTGAAGAAAGTCATTGGTAGCTTGATGGGGATGGCATTGAATCTGTAAATTACCTTGGGCAGTATGGCCATTTTCACGATATTGATTCTTCCTACACATAAGCATGGAATGTTCTTCCATTTGTTTGTATCCTCTTTTATTTCATTGAGCAGTGGTTTGTAGTTCTCCTTGAAGAGGTCCTTCACATCCCTTGTAAGTTGGATTCCTAGGTATTTTATTCTCTTTGAAGCAATTGTGAATGGGAGTTCACTCATGATTTGGCTCTCTGTTTGTCTGTTGTTGGTGTATAAGAATGCTTGTGATTTTTGTACATTGATTTTGTATCCTGAGACTTTGCTGAAGTTGCTTATCAGCTTAAGGAGATTTTGGGCTGAGACAATGGGGTTTTCTAGATATACAATCATGTTGTCTGCAAACAGGGACAATTTGACTTCCTCTTTTCCTAATTGAATACCCTTTATTTCCTTCTCCTGCCTGATTGCCCTGGCCAGAACTTCCAACACTATGTTGAATAGGAGTGGTGAGAGAGGGCATCCCTGTCTTGTGCCAGTTTTCAAAGGGAATGCTTCCAGTTTTTGCCCATTCAGTAAGATATTGGCTGTGGGTTTGTCATAGATAGCTCGTATTATTTTGAAATATGTCCCATGAATACCTAATTTATTGAGAGTTTTTAGCATGAAGGGTTGTTGAATTTTGTCAAAGGCCTTTTCTGCATCTATTGAGATAATCATGTGGTTTTTGTCTTTGGCTCTGTTTATATGCTGGATTACATTTATTGATTTGCATATATTGAACCAGCCTTGCATCCCAGGGATGAAGCCCACTTGATCATGATGGATAAGCTTTTGGATGTGCTGCTGGATTCATTTTGCCAGTATTTTATGGAGGATTTTTGCATCAATGTTCATCAAGGATTTTGGTCTAAAATTCTCTTTTTTGGTTGTGTCTTTGCCTGGCTTTGGTATCAGAATGATGCTGGCCTCATAAGATGAGTTAGGGAGGATTCCCTCTTTTTCTATTGATTGGAATAGTTTCAGAAGGAATGGTACCAGTTCCTCCTGTACCTCTGGTAGAATTCGGCTGTGAATCCATCTGGTCCTGGACTCTTTTTGGTTGGTAAACTATTGATTATTGCCACAATTTCAGCTCCTGTTATTGGTCTATTCAGAGATTCAACTTCTTCCTGGTTTAGTCTTGGGAGAGTGTATGTGTCGAGGAATTTATCCATTTCTTCTAGATTTTCTAGTTTATTTGCGTAGAGGTGTTTGTAGTATTCTCTGATGGTAGTTTGTATTTCTGTGGGATCGGTGGTGATATCCCCTTTATCATTTTTTATTGTGTCTATTTGATTCTTCTCTCTTTTTTTCTTTATTAGTCTTCCTAGCGGTCTATCAATTTTGTTGATCTTTTCAAAAAACCAGCTCCTGGATTCATTAATTTTTTGAAGGGTTTTTTGTGTCTCTATTTCCTTCAGTTCTGCTCTGATTTTAGTTATTGCTTGCCTTCTGCTAGCTTTGAATGTGTTTGCTCTTGCTTTTCTAGTTCTTTTAATTGTGATGTTAGGGTGTCAATTTTAGATCTTTCCTGCTTTCTCTTGTGGGCATTTAGTGCTATAAATTTCCCTCTACACACTGCTTTGAATGCGTCCCAGAGATTCTGGTATGTTGTGTCTTTGTTCTTGTTGGTTTCAAAGAGCATCTTTATTTCTGCCTTCATTTCGTTATGTATCCAGTAGTCATTCAGGAGCAGGTTGTTCAGTTTCCATGTAGTTGAGCGGTTTTGAGTGAGATTCTTAACCCTGAGTTCTAGTTTGATTGCACTGTGGTCTGAGAGATAGTTTGTTATAATCTCTGTTCTTTTACATTTGCTGAGGAGAGCTTTACTTCCAAGTATGTGGTCAATTTTGGAATAGGTGTGGTGTGGTGCTGAAAAAAATGTATATTCTGTTGATTTGGGGTGGAGAGTTCTGTAGATGTCTATTAGGTCTGCTTGGTGCAGAGCTGAGTTCAGTTCCTGGGTATCCTTGTTGACTTTCTGTCTCGTTGATCTGTCTAATGTTGACAGTGGGGTGTTAAAGTCTCCCATTATTAATGTGTGGGAGTCTAAGTCTCTTTGTAGGTCACTCAGGACTTGCTTTATGAATCTGGGTGCTCCTGTATTGGGTGCATATATATTTAGGATAGTTAGCTCTTCTTGTTGAATTGATCCCTTTACCATTATGTAATGGCCTTCTTTGTCTCTTTTGATCTTTGTTGGTTTAAAGTCTGTTTAATCAGAGACTAGGATTGCAACCCCTGCCTTTTTTTGTTTTCCATTTGCTTGGTAGATCTTCCTCCATCCTTTTATTTTGAGCCTATGTGTGTCTCTGCACATGAGATGGGTTTCCTGAATACAGCACACTGATGGGTCTTGACTCTTCATCCAATTTGCCAGTCTGTGTCTTTTAATTGGAGCATTTAGTCCATTTACATTTAAAGTTAATATTGTTATGTGTGAATTTGATCCTGTCATTATGATGTTAGCTGGTGATTTTGCTCGTTAGTTGATGCAGTTTCTTCCTAGTCTCAATGGTCTTTACATTTTGGCATGATTTTGCAGCGGCTGGTACCGGTTGTTCCTTTCCATGTTTAGCGCTTCCTTCAGGAGCTCTTTTAGGGCAGGCCTGGCGGTGACAAAATGTCTCAGCATTTGCTTGTCTGTAAAGTATTTTATTTCTCCTTCACTTATGAAGCTTAGTTTGGCTGGAAATGAAATTCTGGCTTGAAAATTCTTTTCTTTAAGATTGTTGAATATTGGCCCCCACTCTCTTCTGGCTTGTAGGGTTTCTGCCGAGAGATCCGCTGTTAGTCTGATGGGCTTCCCTTTGAGGGTAACCCGACCTTTCTGGTTGCCCTTAACATTTTTTCCTTCATTTCAACTTTGGTGAATCTGACAATTATGTGTCTTGGAGTTGCTCTTCTCGAGGAGTATCTTTGTGGCATTCTCTGTATTTCCTGAATCTGAACGTTGGCCTGCCTTGCTAGATTGGGGAAGTTCTCCTGGATAATATCCTGCAGAGTGTTTTCCAACTTGGTTCCATTCTCCCCATCACTTTCAGGTACACCAATCAGACGTAGATTTGGTCTTTTCACATAGTCCCATATTTCTTGGAGGCTTTGCTCATTTCTTTTTATTCTTTTTTCTCTAAACTTCCCTTCTCGCTTCATTTCATTCATTTCATCTTCCATTGCTGATACCCTTTCTTCCAGTTGATCGCATTGGCTCCTGCGGCTTCTGCATTCTTCACGTAGTTCTCGAGCCTTGGTTTTCAGCTCCATCAGCTCCTTTAAGCACTTCTCTGTATTGGTTATTCTAGTTATACATTCTTCTAAATTTTTTTCAAAGTTTTCAACTTCTTTGCTTTTGGTTTGAATGTCCTCCCGTAGCTCAGAGTAATTTGATCGTCTGAAGCCTTCTTCTCTCAGCTCGTCAAAGTCATTCTCCATCCAGCTTTGTTCCGTTGCTGGTGAGGAACTGTGTTCCTTTGGAGGAGGAGAGGCGCTCTGCGTTTTAGAGTTTCCAGTTTTTCTGTTCTGTTTTTTCCCCATCTTTGTGGTTTTATCTACTTTTGGTCTTTGATGATGGTGATGTACAGATGGGTTTTTGGTGTGGATGTCCTTTCTGTTTGTTAGTTTTCCTTCTAACAGACAGGACCCTCAGCTGCAGGTCTGTTGGAATACCCTGCCGTGTGAGGTGTCAGTGTGCCCCTGCTGGGGGTGCCTCCCAGTTAGGCCGCTCGGGGGTCAGGGGTCAGGGACCCACTTGAGGAGGCAGTCTGCCCGTTCTCAGATCTCCAGCTGCATGCTGGGAGAACCACTGCTCTCTTCAAAGCTGTCAGACAGGGACATTTAAGTCTGCAGGAGTTACTGCTGTCTTTTTGTTTGTCTGTGCCCTGCCCCCAGAGGTGGAGCCTACACAGGCAGGCAGGCCTCCTTGAGCTGTGGTGGGCTCCACCCAGTTTGAGCTTCCCGGCTGCTTTGTTTACCTAAGCAAGCCTGGCCAATGGTGGGCACCCCTCCCCCAGCCTCGCTGCTGCCTTGCAGTTTGATCTCAGAGTGCTGTGCTAGCAATCAGCAAGACCCCGTGGGCATAGGACCCTCCGAGCCAGGTGCAGGATATAATCTCGTGGTGTGCCGTTTTTTAAGCCTGTCCCAAAAGCGCAATATTCAGGTGGGAGTGACCTGATTTTCCAGGTGCATCCGTCACCCCTTTCTTTGACTCGGAAAGGGAACTCCCTGACCCCTTGCGTTTCCCAAGTGAGGCAATGCCTCGCCCTGCTTCGGCTAGCGCACGATGCGCGCACCCACTGACCTGCACCCACTGTCTGGCACTCCCTAGTGAGATGAACCTGGTACCTCAGATGGAAATGCAGAAATCACCCGTCTTCTGCGTTGCTCACACTGGGAGCTGTAGATGGGAGCTGTTCCTATTCGGCCATCTTGGCTCCTCCCCTCAACTTTTTTAAAGAATTGTCTTTCTTAGAGCTTTTATGTTAAATTTTAAATTGTGGCAATTTAGAAATTCTCATGAATTCCTTATTGCTGTCTGGTTCCCCTTTTTCCTGCTTTTTAAAAATTATTTACTATTATATTCTTAAATATATCTGAAGACTTGAAGACCTGAATATAATAACTGAATTATAAAAATTACCTTTTTGGTTTTTATGGTTTCCAAAGTATCTCTTTTTTCTATGGTTAGCTTTTGCATTTGCTCATCTTAGTATTTGTTTTCTGTGCTGTTGATGTTCTCAATTGTTTGATTATTCTTTTTCTCTTCTACCTCAAGCTGGTCATCTTTTTTTTATTTTGCTCCCTTTTTTATTTGGAATATATAAATATATATATATATATATACACATATATTTCCACATTTATATTTCAAATATATAACAAGATATGTATTTTGAAAATATCTCTCTATAAGATTTAGATATGTTCCAATATGTCCACTATGTTTTAGTATGTTCAGTTTTCCAACACACACACACACACACACACACACGCATGCACTCAGAGACAGCATCCTTACATTTTCTCTACACTTAAAAATAACTTCTGTGAAAGATTGTTGCCAGTATACGTTATATATAATTCCCTCCCAAGACACATGCAAGCAGCCCCCATTGCATGTATAACAGATATTACAAAGATCATAACCTTCCCATACTTTCCAGGAATTGTGTGGGATGGAAAACTTAACTCATTCTGCTGTTCACAGGTCGTCCTTGCATCAATTATCTCAATGTCTGCTCACATTCTCATCCATTTCTCAGATCTGGAATCAGTATCTGGTGATAGCAGTCATGAGCAAATGGTATTTTATTTCCCCTTTTCATACTCTGGAAGAGCCAGCCTAATTCTATACATATGGCATGGATTCATTTAGCTTATCCTGCTCTTGTGAGACAACAGCTTTTCCTAACGGCTTTGTCTAACTTTCTTAAATAAAGTCGTAGTTAACATCTGTACATCCCAGTATTCATTCCTGCCCAAGATTTGCCTATTCTCTGTTCCCTTCTTCTGAATGAGTGGCAGCTTTGAAAACTTTAACCATAGGTTGTGATGACCTTCCACAGCATCTATTCTTTCCTGCTCTATCGTTTTCTTCACTACACTACGTGGAGGTAGAAATATGGTGAAAGGAGAAGCCTGAATAGGGAATGTTGTTTTGAAATGTTGCCTTCCAAATGAAATGATGATGATGCCTTCATGATAAAGCATCATCATTGTACAAAAAGACCTCTACCATGGTCATAAAAAATATTTTTAGAAGTTGGAAGAAACTAATTTGTAGGCTATGTTCTGATTCCATTTTAAATAGTTATATATTATATTTTAATCAGGATTTGAAAAAAATGTATAATCAATTGAAGGAACAAAAATAAGTCTCATGTAGATACTAGAGAAACTAAAGAAGCTAATTTACATAGGGTCAGTTTTCTAAATTCAATGTATATATTCGACGTTTTGGACTTCCAATTAAGAGAATATATACACACACACACACACACACACACACACATATGTGTGTATGTGTGTGAATTTTATGTATTAATTTGTTTTTTTCTTTAAAATTACTTATTTTATTTTTAGAAAAAGATAAATATTAACAAAAGAAGACTTTCAAGATTCAAAGCTTCAAAATAAAAGGTATGCCTCTATGGCATTTGAAAACACTTTTATGACAAATAGGTAAATATAGCATTTATGATGAAACTTTGAAAGCCACGTTACCATTGCAATACACATACACATATATAAACATATGCATGCATATATTTTACATGTACAAAACAGATCATTTTTCCTATGTAGTTGATATAAAAATTAATGTTTTGGAAGATAATTATTGCATAATTTTGAATTTCACAAAAACACTTTTATTAAGTGAGAATAATTTATGGAAGCTATATGTATGAAAATATTTTCCCATGTATATGGAGTCAAAGTTTATATATATTCTGTTAATTGAATAACTGTTATTTGAGTTGGACATGGAACTGTTGTCCATGTCCATAAAATCATAAAATGATTTTAGTATTTACAGTTATAAGCTTCAAATAACCATGGAACATGACTTAACTATACAGCGCTCTGTCCTTACTGCATAGCAAAGATCCCGCCACATGGTATCAACCTAATATATACTTTAACTGACTATATGTATGAAATAACTCCATGGTTAAGGCTGTATTTTTAATGTGGACATTCTCATATTTTGAGAAATAAGGAACATTGAACAAATAGAAATGAAGCTATGGCTTAGAAATTTAAATAGAAATACCATTACAATAACCACTTAGAGTAAAAAGCATTTATGATTTGTGAATACTACTTTATTATTAAGACTGTCCTTTCACACTTACATTCTTTAGTGTCTTTTTATCATGGGGACTATTTTCGTTCTTATATTGGTGACTAGTTGAGGATTAACTATAACAATTGTCATTGTTATATTTAGCAATACAACTTTGATATTTTATGTGCCAATATTGAACTACGAATTGGACTAAAATATAAATCTATAAATACTATGAATTTATAAATCTGTATTAGTTTGTTACATCATGAGTGTCTTGATGGCAAACTGTAGATCAGGGAAAATAGAAGATCCTATAATTGTAGTTTATCATACTTTTAAGAGATTGCAAAGATGGGGATCTTTGCCTCTAGTCTCTTAATGGGGCAATCTCAGAGATAATAAAGAGCAAGTCTCTGCCTGTCAGGTGGAAATAGGAAGCAGAACTAATCATTTCAGAAAGTCTCAAGACAGCCTCGATTTTTTGAAAGTAGCAAAATAAATCTCAAATGAATTGTGTCCAAGAGAGAAATTTCACACCTCTAATGAAAAAGTTTTGTTTCAATAGCAACAGCATTTATTCTTTTTTATTAAAATTATCTTATTTTTTATGTGAAATTTATTAAAATTTCAGGTATTTTCTTGCATTGATTTCTCAGATAAAGTACTTTGTTCTACTAGGTCTACCAGAGTCGTTCATACTGCTATTGATCAATAAGTACATTGGGATAAAATCAGTCATCTAAACTTCTTTAGACAAATATTTATCTACCAAATTATATAGGACAAGGAAACTTTAAATGATTTAGTAAATTGCAGCTTATCATATTTAGTAATATTGATTGTTCTCTGGATTATATCATTTAAGCTTTTTCTTATTTTCTTTTAAAATTTATCATTTAAATATAGATTTTGACTGTTCAAAATAATTTGCATGTTTTTTCTTTAAAAAAATAGAATATGAATTCCAATCAATTGCACAGTGCTTTGATTATGACAGAAAAGTGGGATGAGACTATGGAGTCAATATTTTGAACTTTTTGGGGAAAGTTATAACAGTTAAACTTTCTCGATTTCATAAATACTATTGGGAGAAATAAATTATTTTGAAAATAATAATGAAACCTAACATTTATTTATTGCTATGGTAGCATAGCCACTGTATGTATCTCTTTATTTGGATAAGTTAAATTCACCTGAAAATAAGCAAAAACAACAGAAATAAATATGAAGCATTTCTGTAATTATCTCTACTGTACAGATGGAAAATTTGAAACTCAGAGAACTTGAGAAACAGGCCAATGTTCGCTTATCCCACTGCTGGCAGAATTAATCTCTACCTGATCCCAGATCCAAGCAAGAGTATCAGAGTCTCTCTCTCTCTCTCTCTCTCTCTGTGTGTGCGTGTGTGTGTGTGTGTGTGTGTGTGTGTGTGTGTGTGTGTATGACTATGATTCAGTTCTATCTGAGGTCAGAAGCACCCACAATTAAAATTGAAGTGTTAAATCGTGAGCTATCATCTTAAGCCATAGAGTTGAGGGCTAAAACTTGAGCCATAATTACATTCCCACTAGCAAAATGCCAAAGGTGGATATTACACTTCGATCAGATGGTGGCCATGTGAAAGACAGAACTAGCCTGGGGTCAATCAAAGCTTCCCTGGGTAAGCAACATGTAAGCTAAAAGCTGGAGTTAAGGAGGAGAGAGATGAAAATTTAGGGTAAAAAGGAAAGCATCTGTAAAATTTGTGTTGTTATAGAAATCATGGGGGACATGAAGAAATGGAGAAAGATCACTGGTGCTGGAGCAGAAAAACTGGAGGTGGCATGGTTTTAGAAGAAGTTAGACAAGTAGGTAGAGGCCAAACCATGCAGGTCTTTGTAGGCCTCATGCAGGACTGTTCTCCTAAGAAAAAGGCACTGGAAAGCCACTAAGATGTACATATCAAACAGTTAAACATAAAGCGTACTATGTTTCCTATCTCCCAAGTACAAAGTCTGTCATATATGAAACTGAAAGTCAAACGAAGTCCAAAATTTCTTCTCTTGTACAGTCTTTTTCTCTTTGCCTATTAATTAGCTTAAGGAGTTGCTCTCAAATTGTACTGTGTTTAAAGATCTTTCTAGTCTCTTGGTCTCTTGACCACTTCAGCAAATATCACTCTGTGGATATTGGCAATGAAAATTACAATTACCATTTTTATTGTGACAAAAATGACATGCTTGCCCTTAAATTTTTATTGTTATTTTCTAATTTCCATTTGCCTATTAGTTGTATAAAAAATAAGTGATATATAGACTGCCAGTTGTGCAAAGAGAAAGAAAGGCAAAATGTGGCCTCTATTTTTCCTTTTTTTTTTTGGTAATAATTTTCTTTAAAATGACAGGCTAGAATTTATTGAAGTTTTGGAAGAGAAAGAGAGCTATGTTATTTGCAGAACTTAGAATATTTATCAAATGAGGAGGGAGCTATTTGAGGAGTTGAAAGAAAAATGTTGGTTGTCTGGGGAGATGTTTACAGAGAAGATCCTCAGAGTACAGGATACATGCATCAAGTATATTGATAGTTTGGGAGTTGCTAAAAATAGAATATCCCTACTATAAAACATAAGATAATAGTTTAGGTATATTAATTGTCAGTAGAAAAGAATGAGGTCCATTGTTCCCTGATGTGATCTTAAGTCTACTAATTTTTTTAATGTATATAATCAAGATTTTAAACTCTCACCATTCATTTAAGGCATATCTAATCTGCACAAGTTTAGGGCATGTTACATTATTGAGATCTCCATTTCTCATTACTTAGAGAAAAAAATAAACTTATAAAAAAGAAGATTCCTAGCATACTATTAGAAATAAATCAACAAACTCAATTAAGTTCTCAAGACATACAAAGTATAATCAATCTACCAGTAATGATATAACACTATTTCATGACGGTAATTTATTTCTCATAATAATAAAAATCCCAGTGAACATATATATGCTGCATGGTCAAGTTGGTTAGGGAGATATTTTTAAAATATGAAAATTAAAAATTCATATAAATGAAGATAAAATGGCATTTCAAATTCTCAGACCCTTAACACTATTTCTGCAGAACAACTGATTGGACACTGATGACCCTGAGATTCTACCTCTCTTGATAAGTGTCCTGTAATTTAGTAACACAAGACCTCCCTGAAATTTACACAGCTATGATATGTTTTATTTTTTCCATAGTATTATTACCTACTCAAAAAATAGTACTTCACAGAAAGACATACGTTTTAATTTACATATTGTAAAATTAGCATGCAATGTATATACACATGTATCAAGTATTCAAACAATTTTATAATACTCCGTACAGTATATGATATGATAATGCTTTAAATAAACTCATTAAATTAAATGAAATGTTTTATTATTAATCATCAAATGGTTAGATTCAAACAAATGATCCAATATATAGCTTAGATAATATGAGCCTATAAAAAGAATTTTGTAAAGAAGTTTGCTTATTTGTGCCCACTTAAAATTATATAATTTTCATTATAAGTGGCAAAGAATTCATCCTACAGAGATACTCAAATGAGAGCATTAAATCCGCAGACATAATGACAACAACAAAATAATGTATCAAATTGGAAATAAAAATATATTAAGTGAATTATTCACAGAAATTCTGATTTTCCCTTTCAGTTCTTCCTCGAGCATTTGGTAGTGACCATTGTCCTATATGACTAAGAAAATAGTTTTAGTAACTGATATTCTTGGTTCTTTCAACTCTTTTAATACCTTTTTGTCAAATAGCATCTTTCTTCATTTCCATTGTACTGGGATATTACATTCCCCTCTTTAAGTGCCTTAGTATGGCTTAGTATTTGCAACAACAAATATATTCTAAGTTCATTTTATACACTGAATGATAAAACAACATATACCTATATAGAAATTTGATTTACAAAAATTATGCACAATGTTGATTGTCTATTTGTTAATTAAAGTAGCTGCCCGATCTTGAAATTCTTTGTATTTGTTTCCTGAATGGATTGAGTCCAAGTTTTCTCTGCCTTTATTTTTAACCTGCCTTAGCAGTAAATTTTCTTCATGCTCAGAGTTCTCAGAGTCAGAAGGAAAAACATTTTTAAAGCCATGGGGCTTCTATGTGTGATGAAGAGTGCTAATTGTTCATCAAAATCTATTCTACTTTAATAATAGACATTCTCAAGGATTAGTTCAGTACATGACTATCTCTATGGAGTATGTGTGTATATAAAATTATATATAAAATAATACATAAATGGGTTTAAAATTTAGAAATAATTAAAATTCACAACAATAATAGCATATATGTTAGTAATGAATGGACGTAAACTGTGCTAAGTTCATCTAAGAAATAAAAGTAGTAGTTCATATTAAACTTACATAACTCAAGGATAAAAATGGGAATTTTTAACTACTAAAATTTAATCAAAAGAACCAAGCTAGTTATGCTATGCAAAGATATGTAAATTATTTAAAGAGTAAATAAGAAACAAAGAACAAAGAATAATTATTTATCAGAAAAATATGAAGTCCTCATAAATGTTGATGAATAGAGCTCAAATTCTTAGAAGGGAAGACAAATTACAAAATTGTCCGTAACAGTGAAATCACCTTATCTACCAATTCAGCAATTTACCCGGGTATGCATTACTGTAGTAATAGATACCTATACTTAGGGGATAGACACATATTTCTGTAATACTAAAAATACATTTATTCAAATTCAGAATAAAATAGAATTCAATTGTAACGAATTTTCATCAGTTCAAAAGTTAACCAGTATACCTATATTTGCTTAAATCAGAACAATTCAAAATGTAGAGCTAAGTTGTGTCGTATCAAACTTTAAAAATAGCACAATTCTATAATTTTAGGAACCACTATATGCATATGCAAGTTAAAATAAAGCCAATCAAAAAAGTAAGCACAATAATTTCACTTAACCGAATGCCAAAAGTGATGATGGTTTTGCCCTTCCTGTTTGCCATGGGGAAGTGGATGCTTTGTGCAGTGACTGCTTGACAGACTGCTGTGTTTCTCAGTGCCTAGAGAAGCAATCTGTCTCCCCCAGGATTACTGCTAATAAACTGACACCAGTCAATCTCCCTTTTATATTTTAACATCACTTTTTATTACACTGACATCTTGCTTTCCCTTGAGTTTTTAATTAATTTTTATTAAAATGTTTCTTTCCTGTCAATACACTTAATGAGCACTTTTTTTCTTATCTTTGCTTATTTACTTCTCTTCCAGTCCGTACCATTTTCCCTTAGCAGTTCCATTCAGAAATAAAAATTATATTTTGTACACAAAATATGATATTCAAGAATCTATAAACTTAAGACTATTCAAAAACATACTTAAAGTACTATGCTTTTTATTTGGTTCTCCTGTCTTTACTTATTTATCAATGCACTATTTACCACCAAAACAGTGAGTACTGTGTTAATATATTTATGAAATTTTGAGGGAAAAACAAATGTCCAAGAATCCGTACATAAAAATGTTTCATCATTCAAAGTTTAAAGTCATAGGAGTCTACGTATTTTAATTATGCTATTATTCAAAACATTGTTAGAAAGTTTACTTTGTATTATTTATAAAGCTATTCTGAAGTAAGCATGTAACTAAATAATTTTTGTTTTTAGTTGCACATTTGTGTTTCTCTCCTTCTTCCCTACCTGTTCCCTCTCAAGCAAGTAGGAAGTATTGTTCCTTAGAGAAAGTAAGCAGCAGAATTTAGTTAGTAGTTCTCAAGACTTCATTCTTTTTTTTTTTTTTAACGTTCCAGGAAGTCATTTATTTACTGTATTCAAATGAATCCAAGTGTAACACAGCATTGAATTCTAGATATTTATGTACCAGATACTGGGAACTCTACCCACTCCTTTCAAGAAACCCCTGCTACAAGTACTCTGTGTTTGGCTAAGTGACTTGTTTTGTTTTTATCTTTTGAGGATTCTTAAAATCATATTGAGGTCTCTTTTTTAGCCGAGAAAATATTTGATGAATATTTTCATCAAATCTTAACCACTGATGAATGGTTAAGATTTTCTCAAATTCTTTTTTTATTCTCTAAGTCTTGGTATACATGTGAGGAAATTGCAGGTTTGTTACATAGGTATACACATGCCATGGTGGTTTGCTGCATCCACCAACCCATCATCTACATTAGGTATTTCTCCTAAGCTATCCCTCCCCTAGCCCCCCACTCCCAACAGGCCCCAGTGTGTGATGTTCCCCTCCCTGTGTCCATGTGTTCTCATTGTTCAGCTCCCACTTATGAGAGAGAAAACGCAGTGTTTGGTTTTCTGTTCCTGTGTTAGTTTGCCGAGAGTAATGGTTTCCATCTTCATCCATGTCCCTGCAAAGGACATGAACTCATCATTTTTTATGGCTGCATAGTATTCCATGGTGTATATGTGCCACATTTTCTTTATCCAGTCTATCATTGACAGGCATTTGGGTTGGTTCCAAGTCTTTGCTATTGTGAATAGTGCTGCAATAAACATACATGTGCATGTGTCTTTATAGTAGAATGATTTATAATCCTTTGGGTATATACTCTTATACTCACCAAAAAATCTTAACACTATTGAAGGGAATAGAGTTTGAAGAGAGAGTTTCTGCAGACTGTAAATGTATTTTAAATTCTCCTAAGTTAGAAGTAGAAAATTGAATGATTGCAGGAGAAAGAGCATTTGGTTGTTTGATTTGAATCAATTCTCCAAAGGAGAAAGCAAAACCTCAGAGAGAAAATGACAAAATAGTACATCTAAGAGAGAAGAGGCAGGACTGTAAATCAGGATTACCAAAGTCATAAAACTCCTCAAACTTGTATGAGAACAGCAGAACCAGAAGACCTAATAAAAACATATCTCAGTGGTAACCACACTGAGCTGAGAGGACACCCTTCTCCCCTTTACATCTTTGCACTGAGTTAAAATCTCAAAAACTTGGCACATACTTACAGGAAGAGGAAGCCCACGTATTATGAGTTTTCAAATTTCTTTTAGTCTGTTCAGATGGAGGTTCTGAATGAAAATTATCCTGATTTTGAAATCAACAACAATAGCAAATAAGTGTGAAATGTCTTAAACATAAATTTGACTCTGATTTATAACTACTACCGACCTAAAACTGTTAGTTTTATTTCTAATCAAATGAAATCATGCATGCTTCTATTCCGTTGAATAAGATAATGTTTAGAGTGGGACTGTATCTTTTTGTGGCAGATTGTTGCTGTACTGGCCTTGATTTATTTATGTCTTCCTCTACGCACTCCTTTCAAGAACCCCTCCTGCAAGTACTCTGTGTTTGGCTACGTGACTTGTTTTGGTCAATCAGGCCTGAAAATCTGAGAAGCAAGCAGAGTTGAAAAGTGCTTGTTCCTTGGGGTTTAACCTCTCTTGCTCCTTTTTGGAAATGTGGAACTGCCATGTGAAATGGCTACCCAAAGGAGGCTTACCTACATCTGCTGGACATGTAAGTGAGGCCACCTTACATGCTCCAGGCTGGTTTTGCCAGCCCAGAAAAACTGGTAAATTTAAAACCATCCAGCCAACCTACAGAAGATAAGACGCTATTATTGTTTCAAGGTACTACTATATTTTGGAGCAGGTTTTATGCAGCAAAGCTAACTGGTGCAATATTCCAAAGTTACTGGCAAAGATGGTTAATTATTAATAGTGCTCCTGCTCATTTTCAAACACCCATGTTTGAATGGTGAATTATATATTTACCCTAATTAAAAAAAACAAGAATGAATATTCCAAGGTGCAATCAAAAGCAATTTGTTATGTGTGAAGTTTGAGAAGTCCTTGTATACAACTCTTCATGAATTCAGAACTAAGAGATAGATGTAGAAATCAAACAAATGTAGATATAAATATCAGATTTGTCATTTGCAAATGCTATTTTAGAAAATGTGGTTTAGAAATTTGGAAGCAATGGGTTAGCTAACCCTTCACTTCAGAGTTAAATTTACCCACTCAGTCAAAAATAGAGTAGAAAAACTACAGAATCACAAGAGCTATAAAATATGTTAAAAAATATGTTAAATAAAATGGAAGAGGGCATATATGGCCCATGTTTATAGCTTGCCATTAGCCCATAATTAATTCAATTCTTGGCATCTGTGGTCCAATTAAGGCTAATAAGAATTATAATAAGAAAAAGTATTTCATATATATTGCCTGGTACATTGAAAACTTTGATTATATGTTACTTATATCTCTTTAAAAGTATATCTCCTTATAAGGACAGAGAAGTGGAAAATTCCCTAAAGTAAATAATAAAAAGCCTAGGCAGGCAACTTTTGTAACAGCAGATCACATATAGATGCCCTTCATGCTGTTAATAGCTGGTCTATTTACTTTACCTTCACACACCTTATTTGTGTTTATACAAGATTGGTTATATTGGCTCTCTTCCTGGACTATGCTACTTGCTTGAACTTTGATGACCCTGAACTTTATTGGCTTGCTGTAATTCAATATAATTGCAAAACTCTGTGAACATTGAGCTACTGAGACACTAGATTATCAATTTCCAAATCTTTCTTATTAAGAAAACAAACAAGAAAAAACTCTGACTTGAATATCAAGCCCCTCAAGTTCTGCTATGTCTGTTTAATGTCATAGCCAGCTTCTCTCTGACTTATTTCCTTACCACACATGCCTATCTTTCAGCCTCATTGTTTTACCAAACCAGAACTTGAAAATTACTGGAGACTTTTGGATCAGTAAAGCTAATTAACTTTTATCATTCTTCATTTTCCTATTGAAGCAGCTCTTCTAATTTCTCTCTTACATCTCTGACTTCTCATTTTCAGTCAATTGAAGGTTTATTCTCTTTTGTTCCACCCTTAAATATTAAAATATCTCAAGGTGCTGTCATAGACCATCTCTCTTCTCACTATGCTTAAATCTCTTTCATGCTTATAACTTAACAAAGAGAGCCCTCAGATTTATAACTCTAGTCTAGACCTCTCCACTAAGTTTCAAGTGCCTATAAATTCATGTTTTCTAGACTGTCTACTTGAAAGTTCTCAAAAGCAACAAAGACTTTATGCATTTAAAACTAACCCCATAAGCTCACCCAAATCTTGTCTTTCTCTATTATTTCCAACTCAGTAAATGGATCTACCATTCATCCATGTTTCAAGCCAGAAACCCAACAGTTATCTTTGAAACTATTTATCCTGTATGATACTTAATTATTCCTATTCAGTTTACTAATAAAAATATGTTTAACTTGTCATTTTTTCTCTATGTCTTTTACCACTCTAATTCAATCGCAATTACCAAAATAATGCAAATAATATTTTCCAGTAAACTTTAACAGCATTGTGTATCTCTACCTAAATTACTTTAAGAAATTGTTGTAAGCAGAAATCTAAGATGCTCCCCCACAATCCCTATAACCTAAAGTTTATTCACTGTATAATGCTGCCCCTGTAGTTTCTTTCTTTTTCTCTCTCTCTTTCTCTTTCTCTCTCTCCCTCTGTGTGTGTATGTGTGTGTGTGTGTGTGTGTGTGTGTGGGTGGCGGGCGGCATGGGGGGGGCGGGTAACCCATTACCTACCACTGGTCAAAAGAGTATAACAAACATGAAGGGATTTTGCAGATATTCTTACCTTACAGTCTAGGCTTATTCAGAGTTAATTAGCAGAAGACAGTCTTGCATGGTCTGACTCAATCAGGTGAAACCCCTTAAACAGGGGACTTATTCAGGTTAAAGCTTTAAAAGAATTCAGAGACTCTTACAGGTTTAATTAACAAAGAGGCCATGCTAGAGAAGTTCATCTGATGATGAATTGTGAACAGCCTCTAGGACGCCAGGGCTGCCTGCAGCTGACAGGCAGCAAAAGTCAGGGTTCTAGTAACACAGCTGCATGGAAACAAATTTGCCAAAACCTTAAGAAGTTTGCAAGTGGATTTTTCCCCAGACAAGCCTCCAAGTGGGAGTACAGTCTCAACAAAAGTCATTTGCAGCCTTGGGGGATGCTGAGCAGAAGACCCAGCTAAGCTGTGCCTGGATGCCTGACCCACAGAAACTGTAAGATAATACATGGGTATTGGCTTAAGCTTCTAGATTTGTGTTCATTTCTTATGCAGCAATAGCAACATAAAAGAGTAATTATTTTTATAACTGTGAAGCAGTCTGAATAAATCGGTTTTGTTCCAGAAACAAACTACCCTCAATCTCAAGAGTTTAACATATTGCATGTTTACTTTTTCCTCGAATTCAGTAGGTTACAGGTTCTGGTACACATGTGATGATTTTGGCCTTATATATGAGTAGGATCAATTCATTCATTACCATAAAATAAAAGGCAGAATATATGGATACAGAAATAGGTAGAATCGTTTTTGAGTATAAATTCTTATCAGATGTCTTACATTTCTTAGGGAAATTAGAAGCAAGCAAAATAAGAATAGAATGAAGAATAGGTGAGAAATAGTCATCTCAGAAAGTAAGAGAGCAAATTTCTTTGAGAAATACTGTACTATTGCCAAGCAGTCAGGAGGACTCACTGAGGTTTGTGATAGCACATTTAACACGAGGTCAGTTTGCATGGTTATGTTTTTTTTCTCCAATCATGTTCAGCTACTTGGGAGAAGACATAGAGTAGGAAAAAAAATCATATATTTAACCATACCTGAGGAAATTTCAGGAAAAAAAAATGATAGAGAAAGAAAGAATAAGGAAATTGAGATGTGTGGGATTGAGTAATTTTCATCATGTGTCATGAAAGCAAGTTGGGTAAAAAAGAACAATGAGGCTATGGAGGGGATAATGGATGTGAAAAGGTAAGGAGTCACCGGACAGGAGGTACTAGCAGGGTTGAGGAACTGTTGAAATAGGGTTACAAGAAATCCAATGCTGGAATTATAAAGCAGTGTCCAGAGAGTGGACTCTGGGGATTCTTGAAATTGAGGCTCATAAAAATGGAAACTATTGTTGATAATGACAATTTGACAGGATTAGTGTGGTGACCAAATGAGAGAATGGAGTGAAAGATAAAGTTATTTGAAGCAAAAACATCAACAGGATCAGGATGCATCATCCAGAATAAAAGAAATCATCAAGGCTTATGACAGGAGTAGTGGCTGTGAGACTATGTTGCAAATGTTGAAATCTTAAGAAAATGGCCGGGCGCGGTGGCTCATGCCTGTAGTCCCAGCACTTTGGGAGGCCAAGGTGGGTGGATCACCAGGTCAGGAGATCGAGACCATCCTGGCTAACACGGTGAAACCCTGTCTCTACTAAAAATACAAAAAAAAAAAAAAAAATTAGACGTCCGTGGTGGTGGGCGCCTGTAGTCCCAGCTACTCAGAAGGCTGAGGCAGGAGAATGGCGTGAACCCGGGAGGCAGAGCTTGCACTGAGCCGAGATCGCACCACTGCACTGGAGCCTGGGCGACAGAGCCAGACTAGTTTCAAAAAAAAAAAAAAAAAAAAGAAAGAAAGAAAATGAAGGGCGGGTGATAAATAATTGCAGCACAGAGGGATTGTATATGATGTAATCTGATGGTATGTGCTTCACAGATCCTAGAGCTTTTATTATTATTATTATTTTATTTTGCCTGGCTTGGAAATGGCAATGAAGTCACATTACATACTTACTCGAGCTTATGGTCAAGTTTTCCTGTGAGGAATAGAAGATATAAAAGCCACTGCTTGAGACATCTGCTGGAAAATCCTGGGATTCAAAGAACCCATCAGAGCAATTCAGAGTTTGGCCACTTCTCATAGCTGCTGCTGTGTTGTTCGTATAGCCAGAGAAAATGTATTCTTATCAGAAACAGTGCCTTGATTCAAGGTTTCATCACTTTTTCCTTGATATTTCAAAAGGATCCCAATGATCCCCTGCCTCCACTCTTACTCTCTACCCTTCTATTTCCCATATCGTGGCCAGAGATACCTTTCTACATGAAAATCTCAAACAATCACTTCTGTATAAAAGTATTCAATATTCTCCTGAAGAATTTAGAATGAGTTTCTAATTGCTTATATTAGTATAGATTGGTACTCCAAGCCTTGAATATTCTGATGTGGCCTCCTTCTCTATTTTCACTTCATTCTCTGGTCACTTATTGCTTTGCTCTAAAATCAGTTCTCTGGTTGTGTCATACTCTTTTATGCTCTGGTGCCTTTTTACTTCTGTTTTTTGTTTTTGTTTTTTCTCCCTAGAATTCCTAGAGTCCTCTGTAACTCATAAGATGACATTGTTCAATTAGAAAAAAAAGACAGTTGCTTCTCTCCATCGATGTACCCCTTTGGAAATATGATTTGGCTCAGCAACATTTTGAGAATTAAGAAAACGTACCCGTTATGTTGGGTATACCCAGCTCCAGTGCAGTATCATGAGTACTATAGTGGGAGTGATTGCTTCAGGTACAGGCAGTGAGTGAAGCCCCATTGCCTATAGAGAAATCAAATTCCATACGCTGACAAATTTAGTCTATTTATTATCACCATTCACTAGCAGCTCTAAATATTATCAGTAAAAAAATGCTCCGCCCTGAAAATCCTTTACTGGTGTTTTAAATAACCATTGGATTACTCTTTAGTTTTAATTATACACACATACTTGCACACACACAAGTGTGCACACTCTGACGTCTGATGTCCAAGAGGTGGGATTCCAAACATAAAGTTTACTACTCACTCTTTATACCTTGTATGAGTTATCTCCTTGTAAAGATTCCCTACCTTACCTCTTGAGTAGAAATTATATTTCCTTATAGCTACTACTATACTTGCACATATGTATTCTTACTTGAAGCCCTGGTCATACTATATGATTAATTGTCTACATGTTACCTAGAGTAGAAAGACTCCCTTTTTTAAGAAAAAAAACTATTGAATTTTCTTGGAGTCTAAGTAATCAAGGTAATAGCAAACAGTTACATACCACTTACACTGTGCTAAGTGCCCTACTAAATGCTTTGCAAATGTTATTCATTTAACACTCACAAAATGTTATAATAAAAATGATTGACCTCATTTTATATATAAATAAACAAAGGCTTTGAAAGTGCAAAATCTCAGCCAGCTGATATCAGGAGACTGGAGCTGTGCCTCCATGTATGATGGTTCAGGTTGATGGCCACACAAGCTCGTCTGGCAATTGTTATATATCAGCATTGAAATCAACACTTTCTGGCAAGACATGAATTCTCATGCTGTTTTTTTTCTACCAAAGAGGAAGAGATGCCATTACATAATTTTCAACAAAAACATGCTTTATAGAAGTATAATGTCCCTGGAAGAGGGAAGAGGCCATGGAATTACAATCAGAAAGTAAAGAATTTAAGAGGTACCTGGGCATAAGCCAACATTAATACATAGGTTATATGTGATTAGGTCTTAAGAATACACAAATGTATATCAGCATTAAAATATCAAATGTTTTCTGGGCTAATATGAGAGCTCAGAAACTTGACCTGTATCCTAAAAGTTTGGAAGATTCATTAACTAAGCAAGGAATGATAAGACATTTTGAACTTGAAAAATTTATCTGTCTATACAATACAGAGTATAGAGGAAAGGAAACCATCTCTGGAGGCAGGGAGATCCATTATGAAGCTATAGAGGTAATTAAAATAATAAGAAAGGAGAAAAAAGAAACAAAGGAAGGAAAGAAGAAAGAAGGGAGAAATGGAGGGAGAAAGAGAGAAAGAAAGAGAGACAAAAAGTGTTCCAGCCTCAACAAAGGCAGAATTGCTAGTCAAACCACTCCTCTCTGAGCCTCAAGACAACCACAGCAAGACTTAAGGGAAGCCCATGAAGCTCTGAATGACTCTAGCAGGAACACGTGTCTCCCAATATACTCCAGAAATTTCCCCAGATGCCACTGGGTTGGCCTGTGACTGCTTTGACCAATTGTATATGGTGAAAGTAATGCCATTCCAATTCTGGCCCTAGTCTTTCAGAGGATGAGTGTGGTTTCCATTTTGCTTCCCTTAAAGTGCTATCCTGGGTTCAACCAACCAGAATGGAAGAAGTTTGACTGCCATAAGGCCACTTTGATCTGAAGAAGTTGACAATGGCCATGTGGAGAGACCACATGGAGGGAAAGTGATGCTAACCAGCCCAGGCACCAGTGAAGAAACCATTTTAGACATGTCACCACCAGCATATTCCAAATGAAGATCTGAAACCTTGACATATGAGCCCAGTTGAACTATCTAAAACCTTCCCATATATTTAATCTAGCTCAGCTCATGCCCCAGATACCATATAGCAAAGACAAGCCACCTTGCCTAAACTCCTAACCTCACAGTTGTGAATATCAGAAAATAGTTATGAAGCCTTAACTTTGATGAAGATTTGTTCTGCACAATAGATAATAAGATAATTTTTTGATTTGTCTATTTAGTATTTGTCCACCTTCTTATAAGTTTCGTGAATACCAAAATTTCTCTATTTTTTCTCATTAAGCATCAATAGCTTCTAGAACATACTAATTAGTTACTGAAGGAACAAATAAAAATGTATTAAAAACAATACAAAACAGCTCTTTACAGAACAGAATCTGTAGTTCTTATTGACTGACAGGATACAGTTGTGGGCAAAGAAAATAGAAGCTATGATTGGCCTCTGGGCTCTTGATGTGGACAACTGGATTGATAGTGGTACCATCCATAGAAACAGATACATCAGGAGACAGAATTGGCTAGGTATTATAAAGTGATTTATTTGATATATATGGGGATTCAGCTATTATGACATTGCAGGAAATGGCAGATAATAAGATTGATATAAACGCTTAGATATTAGCAGGTTGTATCCTTAATACTAAATAAGTAGAATTTCAATAAAGAAAGGATAGCAGTAACCCATTATTATGTGAATAAAACTAGAAAGAAAGCTAAAACATATTGAAGCTTATTTGGTTTTATATGTAGGAGGCCATTTGTAAACTAAATAAGAACAAATTCAATGAAATTAGACAAAACTAATCTAATAGTAGTAGGTTGAGGTATGAATAAAAATGTAAGAATTGGGAACACTGATTATAAATGACTTTTTAGAGAAAACTAACAAAAACAAGAAAAAAATAAAATAATAAGAATAAGAGTTCCAGAAGATGATTATGATTTCTATAATTTGACATAGAATGTAAGAGTATCTGAAAGAAGGAAGATAAAAACAATATGTAAGTACTCCTAAACTAAATTATAAAATTGAAAAGATGGTGGCATCTTTCAATATTAAGAAAGCAGAAGTCCGAGGATGGGTGAGAGCATGACTGGGGAAAACTTTTAATTACTGATCAAGTTTAAAACTACATTATGACTGTTTGAAAAATTCCATATACTTGCTTAAAGCAATATATAATAAGTCTAAGACATGTTTTATGTCTACAGTATCAAAAACTGATCTACATACAAATAAAATAATAGTTATTTTTTACAAAAGATATTTATCTCCAGATTTCAAATAAATTGTCAATAATAATCAAAAGTCTAATAAAAATTCCATTTAAAAGCAGTGAACAGCAAGTATTAAAACTGTCCAAGCAGAGAACAGACCATTAAGTCAAGCTAATTATTACACTGTTTTTTTCTTAAAGCACCAATAATATTATCTCATGAGTCATTGCATTATTCTGTCTAATGTTAGCCAATGCTTATAATATTCTGCTTTTACTGGATAAGTAAATGTAAATATGATAGATAAAGTGCATATATATTTATAAATCACAATATAAATGTGTGAAGGAGAATCAGGGCCACATTATGAGTTTATAATTCTGAGAAGATAATAGACATTTGAAACAGTCTGGAAATATGTGTCCCTTTTGACTATTTCAATTATTTCAGTTTGATCCCAATCACACATAGAACATTCAATGCTTAAAGTTGTTCCATTTACAATTAAAAAATAAGCGAAGGACTTGAGATAAAAAAAAAGCCTGTTAGATTAAAAATAATAATAATAAAAGCTAACTCTGAAATGTCCAAGAGGGTAAGAATGAGGGAGAGAGAATGAGAGAGAGGGAGAAAGAGAGAATATGTTTGGCTGTAGAGGAGAGAGATTGATTGCTATGAACCTGATATATTTCAAGATTTGTTACCTTCACCAGACAATAGCCTAAAAAATTAACTTCCAGGCTGTGGTATCTCAGGAGGAAGGAAGGAATATAACAATAGATTAGTATCAAAGATTTTCCTCAGCTTTCCAGTCTTCGCTTAGAAGAAAATTGCTAGGCATGATAGTTCTCTGGGCTAGATTACCCTTTACCTGCAAGGTGCAAGTACTTATGGTTGATGCATAAACTTCTATATCTTTGTTATCTTAGATATTATAATTCATAAAATATACCATGACTGATAGTAATATCTGCCATGAGCACAGAGTGGAAAGTGATGAGATATAGCACACATACAGTTCATCTGGGGACTACAATCTTTTAAAATATTATAAAGCATTCTCACTGTGCCTTGATTTTTACTACAAACGTATCATCAGAGTAACAGTATCTGTCCTACATAACCCAAGAGGATATTTTGAGAACTTAACAAACAAAGAGTGTAAACCAAATAAAAAGGTTTATGAACTGTAAAGTAAAATGTCAATGCTATATCTATTTATTTTTTAAAAACCTCATTTATATGATTAAATTAATTTTAATAGAGGTAATAGGATGCAGGCAGAAAACAGAGGGTGGTATATCTTGTTATTCAGATTTTAAAATTTCTCTGTTATATAAAAATTCTCATTTTTAGAATATTGTCAGGTACAGTATATGGCTGCTCACACAAGTCACCTGAGAAAAGTGAGATCGTTCAGCTAGTCTCACTCCGATTTGCTATTCTTTCTTGCCATGCTTAGTCTCACCTCTATGAAGCCCCTGGTACCCAAGCTTGCCTTGCCAAAAAATAATTATAATAGTAAGTTCAGGGTTCAGTAAGGTAATAGATGTCTGAAGTGAAGCTAAGTTAGGGGAAGTCTTTTCACTAGAATCAACGCACATCACACTCCATTGGCCAATGATTGGTTATGACAGGTAATGAGAAAGAAATCCCAAACTTTTCAGTAAGAAGTAAAAAGTGTATAAACCACCCATGCACAGATGGTGGTGAAATGAGGCTTTCAAAGTGTTAAAATACCAAGTAATTCTAACCATACTGAAAAGACTGAGCTATTCATCACTCATTTTTAGGTGTAATACAATATTTATAGCTGTTAGATGTATACACCTACCTAACATCAATATGATACACAGTGCATAATCTCTCCTGTTAATTTGAGTAAACAAATTACTGTGAATGAAAAGTATGCTGATTAAAGCTTATCCAAGAAAAGCTGTGTACAAACAATTTAATAAAAAATCATGTAAATGGTCAAATTATGTTTTGTTCGTAATTTAAATTTGATTATTAAACAAAACTAAGTTTATGAAGTTTTCATCAAGTTATCTTTTTTCTACGATTATGATTATGTTTTTCTAAACCCTTTACTGGAAAACATAAATGGATAAGAGGCCATAAAATGGGTCAAATGATTGTTAATCAAAATGTATATCAGAAAATATTTGATTATTTAATAACATGCAAATTAAATACAGTTTCAGCATGTGGAATGCTAATTCACTACCATTATTTTACTTGCCATAGAATGAAGCAAAAAGAGTTCATCACATTCTCTTGTATTCTTTTAATAGATCATTACTTTTTTGTTTATTGAAAAGAAGTATTGCAGTACTGAGAGGGCTATAGAAACAACCTCAAGTGATGAAAAACAAAAATTTTCCATAATAGATGTTGGCTAAAAAGTCAGACATGCTTCTGAGCATGAAACATACAAAACTCTGGTAAGAGTAGACAAAGAAAGGCCAAATTTCTTTTTTTGCTGACACTGAATTTCAGAGTTACTTTTAAGAGCTTCCCAAAATTGAAGAAGATATTTCAAAATCCATGGCTGTGTCTGTCTCTATGTGATACAGTATACTGCTTACAGAGGTAAATATTTTGCTAAGTGCATTAAACCAGTCACAAAAAGCAAAATACTGTATAATACTGTATGATTTCACTTGTATGAGGTACTTAGTGTAGTCAAAACTCAGAAACAAAAAGTGGAATGATGGTTGCTAGAGACTGGGCAGGAAATGGGGTAAAGGAGAAGGCAGAGAATGAGAATTCATTGTTTAATAGGGACAGAGTTTCAGTTTTGCAAGATGAAGAGTTCTGGAGATGAATAGTGGTGATGGTTGAACAATATAAATTCACTTAATACCACTGAACTGTACATTTAGAAGTGGTTAAAATGATAAGGTTTTTGTCTATTTTACCACAGTGTCAAAAAAAAGTCATGATGTGATTCTTTTATAGGTGCGGAATATCTTATTATTGATGTAATTGGTCATCTACAGTTACATAAAATACCTATAATTACTAGGCTTGTGGACTTGACCCCAACTGGTATGACAGTTGGCTTCTAATTACTGACAGGTAGTATTTTTTCTGGAGTATTTTCCCTGGCCAAACAGGAGCTCATCAATTGCTCAAGTAAGAGGTTATCTGGCCAGCCACTCTTAGCCATCAACAATTAAAGACTTTCTCACATGAGGACTTCTTTCAAGGAGAAGCTGGCTCCCTTACCTTAAAATGAAAACAACTCTTAGGTTCAATTGGTGCTACAGATGTCCCTGTGAGATCTTGCTAAAGCAAGTCTCTGGGTAAAACCAAATTCTTGTTTGGCTTTTTTCCATGGTTTATGCTTCTCCTTCCACTCCTTTCTCCTGAAAGCCATCTTAAATAAATAACTTTCCCAGGTATCACCTCTGGTTCCAGGGAACCAAACCTAAACAATAGCAAGTATAGCACCTATTTCCTAAAAAACCTCTGGAAACTCAGGATTATCATATGAATGAACATATCAGACCTCTCTATATTAAATCTAGCAGGCCTCTTTTTCAGCATAATTATGATCTTAAGATTCAAATCCGACTATATACTCAGTGCTTTGGAAGTACCTGTTGCAAACTCATGTGAAAAATTGTTAACTTTGGGAATATTGTCCAGAATATTTCAGGTCTGGTAAAACAGATTGTTACCATTAATAAAATTTTGCCTATTATGGAAGAGAAGTCCAGATGGATGTCATAGGAAATAGCTGTGGACCTGATGTTAACAATGTATTAATTTTATTATGAGTAGGTTGGCTGAAAAAGTAAAAGAAACTAAAAAAAGCCTTATGGGCATATGGGAACATCAGGGCATCTCTCACAATGGTGAATAGTGTTTTGCCGAAATATGATTGCAGGGCTATTTCCAATAACCTCTGCCAGAAAGTATTAAACAGAATACATCATGGCTATTTGAGCTCATGAAATGGTGCAAAGGAAGAGAATGGGCTACCATATTTTGGCAAGAATTCAACAAAGGAATTGATGAAAAAGTAGCTTCTTGTTTGTTGTGCCAACTCTTACAGCATGAAAATATGAAAGAGATACTAATGAGAAGAGCAGCAGCTGTCATACTGTGAGAACAAGTTGGCACATGAAAAGAAACAGTTATTACTACTGTTATTAGAGACTTGGAATTGTCATTTTATAGTCTGGTACCACTAACATAAAAAGAGATGAGAATGAAACAGCATAGTCAATATTCATATAGAGTTAATAATGGCAAGTATAAAAATGTAGAATATGAATTTTGACAAAATACACTTCATGAGTATGCAAATAATTTTGAAATATGCATAATTTATAAATTAATTTATGCAAAAAATTTAGAGAATTAGCTTACTCAAAGAGTGCCCATTGGGGGAAATTATTCACTAAATTTAATTTTTTTTCACATTAATTAGTCATATGTAAGATATTCATTTTGTTAAATGATCTGTCAATTACAAGTTGGATCCTGATAAAATATGGAGAGTCACATAAAAGAATTCAAATTTTAAAATGTTAATGTAGTTTTTCAAAACATATAGTATATAAATGCTGAAAGTATTACTCAAGCCAAAGAGAGTAGGTCAAATAATGAACCCTCTAAATTATCATAAAATTTCTTCTTCGGTAAGTAGTTCACCTATGATCTTTTACATGCATCTGTGAACAGGCTAATTTATCTGCATATGAATTATAACAAACACTGAATATACTTTATGTGGAATTTTGTACCACATTTTGGGATTGATTCATTCATCAGTATAAGATCAATGTTTACTTTTTACTGATGTTATCACTAACAAATTCAAATTTTAAAAAATATAGCACATAAATGGCATTAAAACCCATTATCATCACAATTCAGACCAAATAGACCATAAATTTTTGGACAATGTTTATTAACCCTTGTAACACAATGATTCACTTTGCTTACTATATATTTTGGGATATAGTAAGCACACTGTTAGATACCATTGTTAAACATGTAGAATGCTATTCATGTGTATCTGAATTTATAAACCAATGACACAACAAAATTGAAGTAAGTGAAATAAATGCATTATACACTTTAAAAACATAAAACTCTATTCAAGTCATTTGTGATTTCTTTCATTACACAAAAATTTTGATAGAGATTATTAGATCCAAATTCTCTTAAAATTTACTATTGCCAAAGATAATTACATTGCATATACCATACAACAGAATCCATTATAAAAATATTTAAATTGACCTTGGTTTGAGTACAGGATTTTACATATGATGCTGGGCAAATCACATAATCATTGTTTTCACAATTATAAGACATGAAATTATTTTCTGTTGTGGTCTCCCTTACAGGATAATCATAAGCTTCAATGGTTAAAGTACCATAAATATGAAAGATTTTATTATCTTTGTTAGCAACCAACACATTTAGGGAGCATTCTCAACTGAACGTTCAATGTTTCCCAGTGGTAGACTAATCATAATATTATAGCCCTTGAAGAAATAATCTGATGTCATTAAATCAGTTTCTCTGTTTCTTCTTTTTTGTTTAACTCCTGAACTCAAGTTGAAAAATGAATGACCAAGAGAGAAAAATGATGGACAAACTTAAGCTGTTACATCTCTATCTTTCAAATATTTATCCCCTGGAGAATAGCTGCCATTTGGAACATGAAACAGAATCATTTATTTCATCTTTTCAAGTTCTAGGATGTTCTCATTAGAAATCATATGTTACTAAAAATCCTGGCCAAAGGCAGGGGAGGAGGAAGAAAGAAAAACATTATCACCTAAGCAACAATAATAAGAATGTAAACTCCATGAGGGCAGAAATGATTAAATATTTTCCTAATTTTTATAATCTCATGAATATTTTTCAATGCCAGCACATAGTAGGATGTAAAAAGAATATTTGTTTCTTTTGCTGTGCAGAAGCTCCTTAGTTTAATTAGATCCTATCTGTCAATTTTGGCTTTTGATGCCATTGCTTTTGGTGTTTTAGTCATGAAGTCCTTGCCCATGCCTATGTCCTGAATGGTATTGCCTAGGTTTTCTTCTAGGGTTTTTATGGTTTTAGGTCTAACATTTAAGTCTTTAATCCATCTTGAATTAATTTTTGTATAAGTTGTAAGGAAGGGATCCAGTTTCAGCTTTCTACATATGGCTAGCCAGTTTTCCCAGCACCATTTATTAAATAGGGAATCCTTTCCCCTTTTCTTGTTTTTGTCAGGTTTGTCAAAGATCAGATGGTTGTAGATGTGTAGTATTATTTCTGAGGGCTCTGTTCTTTTCCATTGGTCTATACCTCTGATTTGGTACCAGTGCCATGCTGTTTCGGTTACTGTAGCCTTGTAGTATAGTTTGATGTCAGGTAGTGTGATGCCTCCAGCTTTGTTCTTTTGCCTTACAATTGTCTTGGCAATGCAGGCTCTTTTTTGGTTCCATATGAACTTTAAAGTAGTTTTTTCCAATTCTGTGAAGAAAGTCATTGGTAACTTGATGGGGATGGCATTGAATCTCTTTAAATTACCTTGAGCAGTATGGCCATTTTCACGATCCAACCCAAATGTCCATCAGTGATAGACTGAATTAAGAAAATGTGGCACATATACACCACGGAATACTATGCAACCATAAAAAAGGATGAGTTCATGTCCTTTGTAGGGACATGGATGAAGCTGGAAACCATCATTCTGAGCAAACTATCACAAGGACAGAAAACCAGACACCACATTTTCTCACTCATAGGTGGGAATTGAACAATGAGAACACTTGGACACAGGATGGGGAACATCACACACTGGGGCCTGTCGTGGGGTGGGGGGAGGGGGGAGGATTAGCATTAGGAGATATACCTAATGTTAATGACCAGTTAATGGGTGCAGCACATCAACACGGCACATGTATACATATGTAACAAACCTGCACATTGTGCACATGTACCCTAGAACTTAAAGTATAATAATAAAAAAAAAATTTGTTCATGTCTAAGTTCAGAAAACACTAACCCAAAATATGCCTCCTTAAAGGTCACTCTGACCTTTTTTGCCATCCTTTCTTCTGTCTCCCTCTCTCCCCACAAAGCAAGCCATACAAGCTAGAATTCCTATCCCCTAAAGAAAGGTCACTTTCTGCCTTCTTCTCTCTCTTTTTGGAGATTCTCATATGACTGGTGTCCTGCCCCCATATCTAGGGGGAAGGAATGTCATAGACATAGGAAAGAATCCGAACAAACAGGCCTTGCTGAGTTCCCCCAGTTTATTACCGTTAGATCATACCCCTTTTTGTCCATTTATGTTTCTCCACCATTACTCACTTCTTTCATCAGACTTAGCTTAAAAATATGGTTTTCTCTGTGTCTTTGGGTCTTCATTCTGAAGGCCCCAATGTCACAAAAGACTTTGGTTGAATTAATTTGTTCTGCTTTTCTGTTGTAAATCTATGTTGTTATAGGGGTGTCAGCCATGAACCTTGTGATGGGTAATGAAAAGATTTAACTTTTTCTCCCCTACATTGCATAAATGAATGACTTGTTTGCATTTGGTTTGCATTTAGGAAGTGTTTAAAATAGGCAAATTCATAGAGATAGAAAGTACATTAGAATTACCTGGGGCTGGGGGAAGGAGGGATGATAACAAAGTTTTCAAAATAGTCATTGCCTAACATCATGAATGTGATTAATGCCACAAAATTTTACATATGAAATGGTTAAAATGGCAATTTTTAATATATATTCCATAGAAATAAAATATTTTTAAAGAACTATTACTCTAATATGGAAAAACTTACAAGTTTAGAAATAAGCAGATAAAATCACC